>NC_000011.10:80146605-80449635 GCF_000001405.40 Homo sapiens | reverse complement strand
AACAAACAAGAGCCTTCAGAAATCAAAAAACATAAACAGTTCAGTGGAAGGCAATTTCATAGAGAGGAGCAGAAAAATACAAACGAGAAAGGAAAAGATAAGCTTTGTCTAGGAGGTCCAAAACCAAATTAAAACTATGCCCAGAAATGGAATCAGAAAGAAAAGAAGTTATCTAAGATAATTCAAAGACGACATTCAAAATTGAAGGACATGCTTTTTCAGATTAAAATTCTGTTTCTGCAGCAGCATAGTGGATGAAATTGACCTATATCAATGTATACTGTTATAATATTTTATAATACTGAGAAAGAGAATTCTAAAATATTCCAAAAAGGAACAAAAAAAATAGGTAACATAAAGTTCAGAAATCCAAAGGGTTTTGCATGGATTTCTCAATAGCAACACTGGAACCAGAAGAGAATAAGACGGTGTTGTAACTACCTGTCGGGTTCTCCTTGCCTGTGGCCTAGACAGAGTCAATTTATCAAGACAGGGGAATTGCAGAAAAGAGTTTAATTCACACAAAGCTCTCTGTACGGGAGACCAGGAGTTTTACTATCACTCAAATCATTCTTCCCAAAAATTCAGGGATGGGAGTTTTTAAGAATAATTTGGTGCATAGGGGGTTGGAAACTGGAGAGTGCTGATGGGTTAAGTGGAAGATGAAATCATAGGGAGTCAAAGCTGTCTTCTTATGCTGAGTGAGCTCTTGGGTGGAGGCCACAAGACCATTGGAGCCAGTTTATGGATCTAGGTGATGTCAGCTGGTGCATCAGAATGCACGGTCTGCTTGAAATCTCTCAAGCACTGATCCCAGGTTTTACAATAGTAATGTTATCCTCAGGAGCAATTTGAGAAGATTCAGAATCTTGCAGCCTCCAGCTGCATGACTCTTAAACAAATTTTCTAATCTTGTGGCTAATTTGTTGGTCAGCAAAGGCAGTCTAGTCTCTAGGCAGGAAGGGGGTTTGTTTTGGGAAAGGGCTGTTATTGTCTTTGTTTCAAAGTCAAAATATAAGCTAAGTTTTTCCCAAAGTTAGTTTGGCCTGCACCAAGGAATGAACAAGGACAGTTTGGAAGTTAGAAGCAAGATGGACTCAGTCAGATCTCTTCACCATCATAATTTTGTTATAATTTTTGCAAAGGTGGTTTTGATATCTTCAAAATTCTGAAGGAAAATGATTACTAACTTAGAATTCTATACACAGTCAAATGTACCTGGCAATGTGGGTAAAATAAGGATATTTTAATATTTCTTACACACTAGTAGTCAAAACCCTTTAAACACCCATTTTCAGGAAACTCCTAAAGGAGGTATTCCACCAAAACAAGGAGTAACTCAAGAAAGAGGAGATGGGATTCTGAAATTCCATGACCCAATTCAAAGGAAGGAAAGGAAAAGGATAGGGAGAAGGGGAATGGGAAAGGAGGGAGATTCTAGTAAAAAAATGATGACACATTACAGAATGACAGCTGTCCAGTAAATATAGGAACAACAAGTATGTTTGGAGCAGGTGCAAGGTCTTTTGGAGAGATGTTCTCAAAACACTGAAACAGATGTATGTTGAGACAAACTGTAATCAACTAGGCAAGAATTTGAAACTGAATTTTAAAAGAAGTTCTTAGAAAACTAAATAACTAGAAAGACATTAACTATATTAACTTCAGGCAAAAACAATTTGGTAAAAACAGAAATAAAGTAATTATAATAGAATTCATGGCAAAGCAGTAAACAGATTTCAGACAGCCAAAATAATGTAAACTCTGAATACTGAATTAATAATACTTAAAATAAAATTATACTGGGAGGATGGGGCAATGGAAATTGTGTGTTTCTATATTTAGAGGTAGAAAGAATATATGTAAAAACTATAGCCCAATCTTCAATAGTTGGAATTAAATATATAATGCCAGAAACTAACAGTCAATAAATAGCAGGATACTAATCTAATTTGGAGATGTGGAGGTAAAAGTGTAGTGTGTTTGCCTGGGTGGAATATGAATTGTGAGGAAGGGGAATTCAGAGTACCGCCATTTGCCATAATAAGTCTTATAAAGCAGTTTGACTTTTTAATTATGTGCGTGTATTACTTTGATGAAAAATTTAAAACATTAATAAAAGAGTTTAGCATGTTACATGGCATATATCAACTCTCAATAAGTGTTAGCTGAATCTGATTCAGGGAACTAACCAACTTTATGATTACTATGATTAAACCTTCTCTCCTGTCAGACTACTCTCAAATACACACAGCTAGAAGGGTTTATGAAAATTTAGTATGTTCATGCTAATTTTTTCTATAGGCTTGAGATTGCATGCTAGTTTTATTCAGAGTCTGTAGCTCTATAGACGTATTTTCCTTTTTTTAAAATTTTCTATTATCTCTCTCATCCTCTACTTTCTCTTTGGCCTGTTTTAAGTGTTTTGTTTTTGGCTTGTTTTTAATAAGCAACTATTGTTTAAAAAACCAAGACTTTTGTTTTTGCATCTCCTGAAAATTAGAAGATGTGGCATCTTGGGACCACATTCTCCAACGGCAACAATCAACTGGAGTTGGGTGGTTGATTCCCCTTTAAATGGGTTACATGCTCTCCATTGTGCCACAGTCTTAAAACTTTCTTTTATCTTTTCCTGAATGCTGCTTCATGCAACTGTGTTACTCACCTAACTCAGGAGACCTTCGCATTCACAGCTTTCACCTAAAAAAATGAGGAGCCATTCTCACTCTGGTGATACTATTAGTTAACTTTCAGGTGCATGTTTGCATTCTAGTGCAAATATGCTGACAGTTGGATATAATTGGAATTTTCAGAAGAGACTGTGGCTGGAGATACAAATGGTGGAACCCATCATCACAGGACAGTGTGATGTGCCTCCTAAAGACTTGGTGAGATTTCCTAGGAGCAAGCATGTGGAGCAGTGGAGAGCAGGGGCAGAGGCAGTGAGAGTGAGGGACTGTGATCTTTCAGGACCAGGAGGGTGGTTCTTCTCTATTCCTGTCAAAGGTGTAGGGAGTGGTAGTGATAACAAGAACACAAGATCTCTTTGGAATTATTTTCAATCCCTCCAAAGGCAATGTGAAGGTGAGGGAGGAGTATGATTTCAGGCTCTTTCAGCTTAGATTTATAGAGGACCTACTAGGTGGTAGCTCATAATGTATGTGGGTGACATGTTCATAAACAATTACAACACACTAGAGATATGGTTAAAAAATGCTAAGAAAGCACAGAGCACCAGCAGGGCTGTGATTTGGCAAGAATAAACAAAAAGACTGTGGGATTGATGGTGAAGAATATTTTGGTGATGAGGGTTTATCAGGTGGACTAAGGGGAGATATCACACTAAAAGTAAATTTTAGAGATTTAATTCACTCGTCCATTGATTCAATCATTTATTCACTTATTATTCTACTCAACAATTCCATGAATATTTATACAGGATATATAGAGCTGAAATACAAAAGACCCTATCCTCAAAAACTTGTAGTATGGAGTAAGAGATAGATAAAATATTAACAATTAAAGCCAATAGATGATAGAATAGCAGTAATTAAAAAGTAACAAGGATGCCTGACTCTTGATTGTAAAATTCCAGAGAAGTCATGATTTCTCTGAGAATGCTTAACACTATGACTGAGCTTTTAAGGCTATTTACAATGAAGGATAAGGAAGAGGAGAAATCTAATGGGCTAAAAATACAATGGTCTGAGAAACTTAAGGAAGAAAATAAATTCAAGTATACTGAGATCTACTGAATCAAAGAGAGATTGGTTCTTAATAAAAACACATGAAAAAGTGCTCACTATCACTGGCCATCAGAGAAATGCAAATCAAAACCACAATGAGATACCATCTCACACCAGTTAGAATGGCAATCATTAAAAAGTCAGGAAACAACAGGTGCTGGAGAGGATGTGGAGAAATAGGAACACTTTTACACTGCTGGTGGGACTGTAAACTAGTTCAACCATTATGGAAGTCAGTGTGGTGATTCCTCAGGGATCTAGAACTAGAAATATCATTTGATCCAGCCATCCCATTACTGGGTATATACCCAAAGGACTATAAATCATGCTGCTATAAAGACACATGCACACGTGTGTTTACTGTGGCACTATTCACAATAGCAGAGACTTGGAACCAACCCAAATGTCCAACAATGCTAGACTGGATTAAGAAAATGTGGCACATATACACCATGGAATACTATGCAGCCATAAAAAATGATGAATTCATGTGCTTTGTAGGGACATGGATGAAACTGGAAATCATCATTCTCAGTAAACTATCGCAAGGACGAAAAACCAAACACCACATGTTCTCACTCGTAGGTGGGAATTGAACAATGAGAACACATGGACAAAGGAAGGGGAACATCACACTCTGGGGCCTGTTGTGGGGTGGGGGGAGGGGGGAGGGATAGCATTAGGAGATATACCTAATGCTAAATGACGAGTTAATGGGTGCAGCGCACCAGCATGGCACATGTATATCTATGTAACTAACCTGCACATTGTGCCCATGTACCCTAAAACTTAAAGTATAATAATAATAAAATAAAATAAAAGAAAACAAGTTTCTGATAAGTAAAAAAAAAACTTTTAAAAATATATCATTTTTAGCAATGTTGATGAAAAAGGTAAGATTGAGTAGACTTTATTTTACAAGTTTTATAAGTTTTAGATTGATTGGCAGAAAAGTAAAACAAACGAGGCTGGTCTAGATCAACATTTCCTAGAATACATATAGGTATGAGACATATATGATCATATTTCTGGGATCCTAAGGGTCTGTCAACTTTGAGACACCTCAAAAATATTTTTGGGGGAGAAGTGAAGGTAAGGCATTACCAATTTTAAGGTGCAACTGAACTTTAGAAATATTAAAAACATGAAAATTGTCCAAACCCAATGAACAAAGACAGAAAACTTCATCTCTTATCTTCTATTCTCTACCTAAGCTCCCAAGCAAGGCAACTGGAAGGCCAACCTTCTCCATCATGGGCTTCCTCCTCAGTTTTACTAGTAGGAAGTTTTACTAGTTTTACTAGTTGTATAAACTTTTGAGTTTAGGATTTTGGAAGTTCAGGGTGGAGCTCTAAGAAGTCCTCTATGTAATCCCAGCACTTTGGGAGGCCTACGTCAGTGGATCATGAGGTCAGGAGATCGAGACCATTCCGGCTAACACGGTGAAACCCCGTCTCTACTAAAAATCCAAAAAATTAGCTGGGCGTGGTGGCACACACCTGTAGTCCCAGCTACTCAGGAGGCTGAGGCAGGATAATTGCTTGAACCCGGGAGGCAGAGGTTGCAGTGAGCCGAGATCACACCACTGCACTCCAGCCTGGGCAACAGAGCAAGATTCTGTCTCAAAAAAAAAAAAAAAAAAAAAAAAAAGCTTCTCAGAACTTTTACAGAGTATTAGATACCTAGGTAAGTGGAGAAGGTAGAAAGTAAATGTGCTCACTTTCAACTGAAAATGTTCCCCTTCCTTCCCCACTTTTGACATGTTGATGACTCAGTTGATAGAATAGAATATATAGAGAAGAATTGATGGAGAACTTTGTGTAAAATAACTGTAAATGTTTCCCTTTCTGAGTCAGATTTGGTTTGGCATATTTACTACATATCACAGCTGATTGATTACGTGCTCATTTTAACTTCTTGTGTCTTTTTTATTTTAAATTGCCCTAGGTTCTTTAAAAAAAAGGTCAAGACTACAAATGGAAATACATTTTGGGGGCTGTTATAATTCTTAATTTTATGATTCTATGTATCCACTACTAATCCATTCAGAGGCTTTTCAAGGATTAAAATGATCCCATCCTTTAGAAATATAAAGTGTCTTTTTAGTGATAACCCTCAGTGTTGAAGAAAAGAATAATCACATTTTTATTCAGGCTAAAACTTTGATGTTTTGCTTCAGCATTGCAACATAAACACCTCATGTTTCAGAGTCAGACTGGCTGTTTTACATCCAGGCATCATGAGATATGAAAAGAAGAAAGGATTTAGGGTTAGGAAGAACTTGTACCTAACTCTGACTCCCTCATTTAATAGGTGAAATCTAAGTCAAGTCACTTATTTTTTTCTGGCCCTGGTTTCCTCACCTGTAAGAGAAGAATGGTTCTTAGCTCCCAGGAATACTCTGAGGCTAATGTGTAGTAACGAATGCCAAGCCTACATCTCCAACCGCCTTTTCTGCCACTTGTTGACTTACACTTGACCCTTTATTATTAGCAAAAGGGTTACAAGTGATTTCATCACATTGCTTCATAATTGTATGCCTTTGCTTTAGCAGTTTCTCATATTTGGAGGCCATAATCATCCCACTTCCTTCCTTCTTTAACAGATTAATTCCCATACACCCTATTAGCCCTGACTTGCTCCCAAATCTTGCTCCTTTGTGTTCTCTCAGCACTTTGTTCTTACCTTAAAGTTACATATTTATAGTTTGATTTAGAGGTCATGAACCATATTTTTTTTTCTGTATCCTCAGTGTCTAACAAAGTGCCTGGCACATGGAAAACATGCAGTTGATGTTAGTGGTCCCATAATAAAATCCATTTCAATGAGTGACAGTTATAGGAACTCACTGTTGCTGATAGTGGTTTTTTTTTTCTACCTATCTACACACACACACACACACACACACACACACTGCATAGACCCAGCTTAATGCCTTTTCAATTAAAAAATACCCAGTTAATAGAAAGACACAACAATGACATATATCAGTGAATGTAGTATTAATTATTACCATGGTGCTCTTATTAGCTTCTTCAGAACAGGCCCCCTCATGAGTATTCAATTTAGATTTTAAAAGAGCAAGGAGGAAAGTTATTGCATGCTAATTAGCTTTAAATTCCTCTTTTACATGGTCAATTGGAGATAGCAGAATAATGCCAACTGAACAGAAGAGCTTTGGTGAGATGACAGAGGCTAGAATTTTTAGCATCCCTCCCTCTAGCCTTTCTGGCCCAGCAGATTCCTTTGCTATCACTCATTCTATAGCTTCAGTGTCACAGGGTCAAGCTGGCCTCAGTGTGAACAAGAAACAATCTCACTATGTCATTCATGAAGCTGACGTTCTGTGTGTGACAGGTGAGTTCTCCCTCAGTACCATAGTATGTTTCATATCAGTGGATGTGTTCCTTCTTTTTGTTCCTCTCTGTGTTTTCATAATGTCATGTACTTTTCTTATAAAAAATCTGTTTATGTTCTTTTCCTTCATGAAGACTGAGCATGCTGAGGGCAAAGATTGAGGTTTTAAAATTTCTTTATCCCTAGGGCTAATTTATAGCTCAATACATGATTATGACTTGAGTGAATGAAGTAATTAAACATGGGCTGAATAATCAAATGGCCAGGAACATGTGTGGGAAAGTAAAGTATCTGATACAGTGATGTTGGTTCTCAACTCTGTGCTTGATTTGTGGAACTGCCAGTCCTTGAACTCCAGAGATGCAAAGCAAAGTGTTCTTCCTGCAAAATTCATCTACCGCTCTGGATTAATTCTTTTACTTGTAATCCTTACATGTTTGCAACACCTGCTTACGTGGACTGAAAGAAACCAAAAGAAATCCCATGTTATTTTTCCCCCTAAAGCCGTGAATCTTGAATCATCTCATGACTCAGATATCCTTTTCCTGTCCAGGGTTGAAGACACTCTAGAGAGAAAGCATTTTCTGCTCTCAAATGAAACTTCAAGTCTTACCAATCAAAATGCCATAAGAAAGCAGAATAGAAAGAAAAAAATAGTTTTCCCATATCCCTTTTCACTTCTCCCATTGAAATTCCCATCTGAGATGAAATGCCTGGGTAGGATGCAAGGAGAGTGCCATAACATATGGGCCTAGGATCCTTTACTGCTGTGCTACCAGGCGGAGCCCTCAATGAGAGGACTAGAGAGAGTAGAGAAAGGATGGTGTTCATCACCATCCTATTACAAGGACTGCATGAGACACATCATCTTGGTTAACCCTTGGGACAACTCTTGAGGTAGGTATTATTATCATATACTAGTTTACAGATCGAGAAATTGAAGTTAAGTGATCTTCAGAAATTTGTTCAACGTGTTACAACTAGTAAATGGCGAAACCAAGCCTGGAATCCATTCATGGTTGGCTTATTCCGAGAGACATGTTATTAACCAGCACACCATATTGCTCCCAGGGCAGAGTAGATGATTTTATTAAAATACTAAATACTACATTAAGTGCAATGTTATTTTTATTCTAGCTACGTTAATGCTGAATTTGCTTTTAAAAGAACTGTGAACTCCAACCCCCAAGCCTAACATCTGCCAGAGCCTTATTTTTTCCTTTTATTCTTTTAAGAATTTTTCCAGTATCCTATCCATGTCTTTCAGAACATCTGTAGTTTTGGGGTGGGCAGAGTTATGAAGGCTGATTAGATATCAGAGTACCATCTGTGGGTCTCATGTCTGTTATTCCCTTCCTTGGCAGTCAAACAAAAACACAGAATAAAAGAAATAATGGAGAAGAGTCACCAGTATGTGCTTTGTGTTCACCGAAGAAGCAAGCAGACTTTGCATGTTCCATTATGTATTTATTCCTCTGTCCTGCAGTGAGTTGGCGAAAAAGCAGAGCAGTGTGTATGTGTGTTACTAAAAGTGATCAGTGGAAGGGAGACGGCACAGCTCTTCCTTCTGCATGGACAATTTATAATGACTTCGTGTGTGATAAAGAGCAGAGAGCCACAGAAGCTCTGGACCAAGTCCATAATCTCTCTGATGTGCTGAGCTCTAGAAATATTGAATAGTAGTAACAGGATTGAGGACCCCCACTACAGCGATATGTGCAGGTACCTGGCCAATGACACAGATTTACAAAAACAGAGGATGACTCCCTATTAGCTTTCCTGAAACCTAATATGTTTCCTTTTCAGGGTTATTTTAATGAGAAATCATGTTTTAAATAGTATGTACTATAACCAACTCCCTGGTAGATGAAGGATGAAGCAATTTTTCTTACTAGGGTGAATAATATGTCATTATCTGACCTCAACCAGTTCTTTCTCTTGCCGCTCCTCTTGTTCCTTGTGGGCTCTGTATTCCCACACTTCAGCCACTCTGAGCATCTCTTCCTTTCCTGTAGTGACCATTCTTATGATCTTTTACAGGCTGTTTCTTCTAATCATATCAGTTATTTTCCTTCTTTTCCTTTCTGCTCTGCCAAACTTTGTGACTGACTCCTCATCTCCCTAAGACGTGACTCCCCTCTGAAGTCTTTCTCAACTCCTCCAAAAGACATTCCCTCTTTTGCAGTCTCACTGTTCTCTGTTGGCATATGACATATAACCTACCAAAATATAAATAAGCCTAAGGCAGTGTTCTAGGGAGATGTAAAGAAGACCAATTTGGACCATGATCTTCAATCCATCTATTCTAGCCTCGCCAACCTCTCAGTGTCTTATATGCAGTCAGCTATTTTGCACTCAGGCCCTTGACCCTGCTATCCACCATCAGGAATGCTCTTCTAGCTCTGCAAATAGCTGACCTTTTCCCATTCTTGAGATCTCAGCTCACCTGGCATCTCTGTACAAAGGTCTTCTGTTACTACGCTATCTGAAGTTGCCCACCTCAGTTAGCTTCCATCTCAACCACCACTACATTTCCTTCATTGCACTCATCACAATCTATATGTCTCTTATTTATTGATTTGTTGATTCAAATCAACAAGTTGTATTGATTCATTGTATTTCTCCTCCCCTGGAACAAAGAGGCCTGAAGACAGAAACAATGTCTGTTTTGTTTACCTGTATATCCCTACTGCCTAGCAGCCATGCCTGGTAATTCAGAGATGCACAAATAAGAATTTACTTCTTAAAGAATAAACGATAAATACAAAGTTATTGAATAAACAAGCCAAAGGGAGAAGACACACTGGTGCCCATATGAGGCATACCTAGCCCATATGAGGCATACAATCTTGAAGATTTGGGGAAGGATACTTAGAAGAGACTTAGTTGTATAGGTAAATCCTATGTGAAGAAGATCGAATTTCAATTTGTGTTATATTATTCCTCACTTAAGGACCTGGTGAAAGCATTTCTTTTACTTTTTTCAGAAATAATGAAATAAATTATCCTCATACAGTCTTCTGTCCTCCTCCTCTTATTCTTGGTGAGGGCCAAGACCTCAGATTCTCTCTGCAAAGTGCATGTTCCTCCCTCACATTAGTCCTCGCTGGAGTGTTATATAGACTCCTATTGCTGTTTATGCAAAGTGTCTAATTATGTTTTCACTCAAAGATCTTTCAAGTGCCAAGCTCAGGAGTCTTTGCTCACCCACACTAGCACTTAAAGGTGTCGGATACCCCCTTAGCTTATTATTCCTGGGAATGGCAGTAGCTTCTGCAGCTCTGCCCCATTCCATATTCTGATTTGAGTGAATACTTTGCTCCACATCTCCGTGCCCAAAGTCATACCCCTAGAGAGGACAGATTCACCTGAATCCAAAACAGATGCTTTTTTTCCTTTGTATTATGTTACATACTGGGATTCTATATCGTATCACTCATCTTTTGTTGTTATTTTTTTTTTGGAGGGAAGAGAATATGTGAAATTATTACATAAAGTTCTTAGTGGGGGCCAGGATGTATATTAAGAATTTAATAGTTCGTTATCACATAGTCCTTTACCCCTGCCCCAGCCTTCCATTTAGTATCACTTTGCCCATTTCAGAGCTGACCAAAGTGAGTAGAAAACGTATATATCTAGCCAGAAGTCTCACAGCTATTAAGTGAGTGGTGATATAATTCCAGCCTATGTCTGAGACTCACAAAGCCCACCTTGTGTTTTAATCACTATACTGTTGTAACTAGCCCCAATTAAATAATACATTGAAAAGTTATCCTGCCAAATTCCCAGTGCCTGCTTTTCTCTTTGGATACTTGTCCAGTGTACTTTTTAAAAATAATTGTTACAACATCTTTACTGCTTGCTCTTCAGAAAGTTATGAAGGATGTATCATTCCCCCCAATATACTTATGATATAACTAATCTCATTCTATTCTGTAAACATTTATTGAGAACTGATTATGATGCAAGTAAATCGCTGAGCAGTGGAGATATTTAGATGAATGAGACGTGGTCCTTCCTCTGGAATAGCTCACATTCTACTGAGAGAGACAGTCGTTGAAACAGCTAATTACAATGATCCATGCAATAGTTGAAATAAAGACTCTTCAGTGTAGGAAAAGAGAAGAATTAGTTCTTCCAGGGGGAGCAGGAAAAACCTTCATTAGAGTAGATGATATCTGAAATAAGCATTGAGTTTACTAACTTTTCAGGTGCCTTGCATATATACTAAGTGGTTTTACAGCAGCAAGGTGTGGCCGTCTGAAGTGTCAGCAGTGATTATGAAACATCACTGCCCCTGTGGTGGGCAGATTGTGTGTGTGTGAGGAAATAGAGGGGATGTGGTGAATACGACTGAAAACACGGGCAGTTCCAGGGTGCATCCTGCACTAACAAAATACAAAGTTTGGACTTCATCTTGAAGGCAATAGGGAGCTTTTGGAGGTTTATAAAGCAAAGGGAACCATTGAAAAAATATATAATGTAAGATGTGAGAAACTCCTTTTCCAACACAGGAACGTAGGATCATAAGCTACAGGAAGCTAGGAAAACATGCCCCCACTCCCCACATCACACCTCATCCAGGCTTTTTCCATCTGTGTTTCCACCGTGGATCTCTCCTGTTAGATTTGCACTGTACAAAAGATGCCAACATTTTCAGCAGAGCAGGGAAGCCTTCTAGCATCCATAAAAGTTTGGGTCTTGCTGTTTCCTGGCCTTTGCTCCAATCTAGACTATCATACTTGCTAAGGGATAAGCTGAAAGAAAGGCAGGGTGATATCAATTTTAAGAACATAGGTGGCTGGGTGTGGTCACTCACGCCTGTAATCCCACCACTTTGGGAGGCCAAGGGTGGGTGGATCACAAGGTCAGGAGATCGAGACCATCCTGGCTAACATGGTGAAACCCCGTCTCTACTAAATATACAAAAAATTAGCCAGGTATGGTGGCAGGTGCCTGTAATCCCAGCTACTCAGGAGGCTGAGGAAGGAGAATGGCGTGAACCCAGGAGGCAGAGCTTGCAGTGAGCTGAGATCGCGCCACTGCACTCCAGCCTGGGCAACAGAGCGAGACTCGGTCTCAAAAAAAAAAAAAAAGAAAACCTAGAAAAAAAAAAGAACAACAACAAAACAAAAACAAAAAAAAATGGAACATAGGTTTTGGAGATTAGCTGCCTGGGTTCACATCATGGCTATGTCACTACTTAGCTGTATGAACTTGGGAATGTTCTGTGAGCTCTCTGCCCTGTTTTTCCCATCTGTAAAATAGGGATCATTGTATAATCTACCTTGTGATGTTGAAGTGAGAATACAATGAGTTACTACATGAAAACTACTTTGAACAGTGGCCTGGCAAGTAATAAGTGCTCCATGAGTATTATTATTCTAGCAACCTGAGTTGGTTATGAATGACAAAATACCAAGCTACTGCAGTCCTTACTGGGAAGATCTGTGAAGACAGAATTGTTGACTATGAAATATACTTCTTAGACCAGTGCCTAAGATTAGTGGCACTTAGTGAGCACTTACTATGCAGGGTGTATTTACATGCATTATATCATTTAACCTCACAACCACACTGTGATTGATGTATATGTATTTGTTTCTATGCTACATCATCTTTGTTTTCTTTAAAAGGAAGAATTTAAGCCACTTACACAAAAGCACACACATAGGAAATGTTAGGACAAGGACTCTAAACAGGTTAGTCTAACTGCAAATTCATTATTTTCTTTACCACACTACCCTACCTGTCAAGTTAGAGAGGTCAAACTAATTTAATTGTTTAATCTTCTATGATGAGAGCTGGCACATATGTACACAGAAAAACTGCTTTGTATTGTTGCTATGATTTGTGCTCCGTATGTTTATATAACAGATGTTTATCTAAATTCTTTCACACTTCCTGTCCAATTTGCTTCCCAAGCAGCATATTTATTATTATTACCTTTTTATATGTGGTGAAATGAAGGAATCAAGATTTAGCCCTTTTCCTTGCCTTGAGTTGCTCTCAGTTGAGCCTTCTTGGGCACCTGTTAGAACTTTCACAGTCTTTTTGATGATGAGCTTATCATGGCTTTATCATTATTATAGACTCTTTGCTTCCTTGGTATTCCATGACAACCTCCTGCATTTACACACCGTTGTTTGCCAGGTGTCCTTGACCTCATAATGGAAAGGTCTGAATATCAGGGTGCACCCAAATAGAGCAAGTAAATGTGATATGAAAGTAATTAAAACATTCTTTGGATCTAACTCTTCAAGAGCTGTCATGAGGATCAGTAGGTACAAGGCTGCTATTTTTAGATCTTAACCTCATTGTGCATGTTTGAGATGGGACCTAATAAACTAGATGGACTGAATAGTACAGAAGATTCCACTTTCACCTGACATGTAATTATCAGACATTTCAACTCTATAGTGTCAAGGTCTACATCGTTGAACTGGGGGTAAGGGGTGAGCACCTAGCAATGCCGTCTAACCATCTTAATGCCATTTTATCTACTAGTCAATGTCATATAATTCAATTTTCTAGAATATTATAGAATTCCTCTTTTATGGCATGCATTAAGGAGAGTAAAAAGCAAACCATCTGGGCTATAGAACAAAACATTGATTAGATTAAAAACCATACAGAAAAATGTATGACTCTCTTTCACCTCTCATATCACCACACCTATTTTATATGGATAAAATCAACATAACATGCAGTCATTGAACATGTGCATGGTTTTTCTTGGGTGTCTACCAAACTGGATGTTTTCTGTCAGAAATACAAACACATTTTTCATATTTCACCAAGATATTGTCATCTAATGTGTAAGTATCTAGCTTATGTTATGTAAACATAGTGAGAAATACCTCTTGGCTTTTACTTTATTTAAGATAAAAAACAATTTTAATAAAAATGTTTTTTAAATATTTAATTTATTTTCCAATGAAATTTTCAAAAAGGTTTATAAGCAAGGGCATATTTTAGTTGTGCTGACTAAGCAATGTATTCACCCATTTATTCACTCACCTAATGTGTAAATGTTCAATTATTAACTTCTATATAGTGCCTAATTTATGTCACAAATTGTTTTTCTTTTAATTTTTCAAAAAAAGGTTGGGTAGATATTATGCCCCATTTACAACTGAGTAAACTGATTTTCAGTGAAGTTTAGTTTCTCTAACATATAATTGAAAGTCACTAGTATCCAATAGATGCTGGCAGGATTTTAAAAAATCATTTTCATTCTGAGGAGCCGGGAAATTTGGTAACAGCAATTTGGACAAATAGAAAAAGAAAAAAAAATAGCCTGAGATGTAGCTCCTAACATGGATTTTATTGTGGCATAAAGAAAGGCAGTGACATTTCTAAATAATAAAATAGCTGAAGGACAGAAAAAAAATTTGAGATTTAAAGAGATAGCTTTTCCTAACCCCTATGTATTTTTAAAAGTTTTCATTTGAGCTATTTATTCATTCAGATAATATTTTTGAGAGTCTACCATATGCCAAACAATTTCCAGAAGATATGTGGAATACATCAGACACAAGTTAGAGTGAAAACACACATACAAGCACACACACACACACACACACACACACACACACACACAGCTTCCTGTCCTTTTGGAGGTAACATTGTAGCAGGGAGACACAGACAATAAATGTAATAAATATGGTAATTATCTAGTATAATAGAATATTATAAGTAGCATGGGGAAAAAGAAAAAACAAGAGAGAGAGCAGGGTATGGGCAATGAACTTGCCTGACACAGGACTGGGGAGGGCTGGGTAGTCATTGTGAGTAGGATGAGTGAGTAGACCCTACTGAGAACTCAAAACTTGAGCATAAACTTTCAGGAGAAAATGGTAGCATGGAGGATATTGTGGGAACAGCATTCCAGGCAGAGAGAACATCCAACACAAAATCTCCAAGTTGAACTCATGCCCAATATCTTCTAGTAAGCAAGGAGAACCCAGGAAATTAAAGGAAGCATAGTAAACATGAAGTCAGAGAGAGAAATGCGGGCAAATCGAGAAGAAACTTACAGGCCAAGGGAAGGAATCTGTCTTATACTTTGGAAATAGGGAGCCACTAAAGAGGTGTGGCAAGATCTGAATTATGTTTTAAAAGGCTGCTAATTGTGTTTTGACTTTTATTTTAGGTTCAGGGTTACGTATGCAGGTTTGTTATAAAAGTAAGTTGCATGCCACACCGGTTTGGTGTACAGACTATTTCATCACCCAGATAATAAGCATGGTACCCAATAGGTAGTTTTAAGATCCTCACATTTCTCCCATCCCCCACCCACAAGTAGGCCTTAGTGTCTATTGTTTCCTTCTTTGTGGTTATGTGTAATCAATGTTTAGCTCCCACTTACAAGGCAGAATGTGTGGTACTTGGTTTTCTCATCCTGCATTAGTTTGCTTGGGATAATGGCCTCCAACACCATCCATATTGCTGCAAAGGACATGATCTCATTCTTCTTTACGTCTGTGTAGTGTATATATCTGCCACATTTTCTTTATCCAGTCCACCATTGATGGGTATTTTTGTTGATTCTATGACTTTGCTATTGTGAATAGTGCTGCAGTGAACATATATATGCATGTGTCTTTATGGTAGAATGATTTATATTCCTTTGGGTGTATAACCAATAATGGGATTGCTGGGTCAAATGGTAGTTCTGTTTTAAATTTTTTGAAAAATCACCAAACTGCTTTCGACAATGGCTGAACTAATTTACATTCCCACCAACAGTGTATAAGAATTCCCTTTCCTCAGCTACCTCACCAGCGTTTGTTATTCCGGCTACTAACTTAATAATGAGCTGCAAGGGTCAAGGATGAAATCAGGGAGAACACTGAGGGGCTATTGTAGTAGTCCAGGCAAAAAGTGGCAGTGAGTCTAGTGGAAACAAGAAAAATGGTCAGGTTCTGGATGTATTTTGGAGATAGAGTCTACTGCGTTTCATGACGGGTTGGAAATAGAGTAAGATTGAAACCAAAGGACAAGGATAAGTCTAATTTTTTGTCCTGAGAAACTTCCCAATGAAGAGCAGCAGTTCAGTTTGCAGCATGTTAGCTTTGAGATCAAATACCCAACCTGTTTAATAAGTGGTTTATATATGAGTTTGGAGTTCAGCAGAGGGCGATGGGCAGAAATTACAAATTGGAGGGTCATGGCCACATACATGGGCTTTAAATCCATGAACCTAGAGAAGTCTCCCAAGAAAGTAAAGGCAGGTAGAGAAGGAGGAAGACAAAGGATTCAGCCCCAGGGGTCTCCAGAATTATAAGGTCAGGGAGAAATGCACTATTTAGTAATGGGAACTGAGGAAGAGCAAAAATAAGTAGAGAGGAAAACAAAGAATGCATTGACTTATTATGTAGGAGGCAGGGATTCACTGTTTAAATGTTGCTGATAGCTCATGGAAGATAACAGTACTGAGAACTGCCCATTGGATCTGGCAACAAGGGTGTCATACATGACCTTCATTTAAGCAGCTCTGAGAACACAGTGAGACTAGAAGTCCATGTAGAGTAGTTTAAAAATGAGGAAAAATTCCAGAGAAATACAGATAATTGTGGTTTTTTTTTTTTTTTTTTTTTTTTTTTTTTTTTTTTAGACAGAGTTTCACTCTTGTCGCCCAGGCTGTAGTGCAATGGCGTGATCTCAGCTCACTGCAACCTCTGTCTTCCGGATTCAAGCTATTCTCCTGTCTCAGCCTCCCAAATAGCTGGGATTACAGGCATCCACCACTGCGCCCAGCTAATTTTTGTATTTTTAGTATAGACGGGGTTTCACCACGTCAGCTAGGCTGGTCTCGAACTCCTGACCTCAGGTGATCCACCTGCCTTGGCCTCCCAAAGTGCTGGGATTATGGGTATGAGCCACCATGCCAGGCCCAGATAATTCTTTAAAAGAATTTGAATGCAAAGGCAGCTAAGAACTAGAGTGCTAGCTGTAAGATGAAGTTAAGTTCCAAAGAGTTTTTGTTTTATTATGAAAGAAATAGAAATAAGAAATTATGCCAATGAGAGGAGTTTAATATAAAAGAAGAAAAATTGATGATGTAGGAGGGAGAAGAATTGCTAGGTTAGTCAGAAAGTAAATGGACTGCAGATGTGTAAATATGTCTGACAATAATAAGGTCTAACCTGGAGTCCACACTCATGATTTAGAGGGAGACTAATCAGTCGAATTGTATATTGTTTTTTTTTTCTCTATCCACAGTCAGCTGCTGCACACATGAATGGAGCAGGTCCAGAATTGGATTAAACAAGAGTTTTGACATGTGAATTATGCAAACAATGAGAAGGGTCAGGAAGTTAAGCTGGCATGCAAAGAAGTGATTAATATGTTTGCTGTGGAATTTAAGCTATATAAAAAGGGAACACAGGACTTCAAATGGGTGAGGAACAGAAATGAAGCTCTTAGATAAAGGAATAGGAAGACTTGGTGAGGTCAAAGGATTTTTCGTATTGGGAGTGCTGGAGGGAGTGAACTGGAAAGTTAAGATATTGTGGTCAGAGAGATGGTGCATGAATTTGAGGTCGTAGAAATATTGCAGTTACAAAATATAATATCTTTGGAGATCTAGATAGAAAGTGGTTAAGGTAGAGTGGAAGACAAAATCATTTGGAGAGAGGATTGAGGTCACAGAGATGATAGGTCAGAGTGTTTGGAAGATTATCTACATATAGATTCTACATATGTGTTTTACATATGTATGTGCATATATATGCATTTTCATATCTGCATGTATGTGAATATATGTGTGTATAACACAAGTGCTAAGACAGAGTAATATTGCAGAAAATGGACAATAAACTAGGAATGACGGGTGGTGAAATCTAAAGGTAGGAATTTTCAGGGAGTGGGGTAGTAAAGTACCCATAAATATGTGTTAGGTTGATGCAAAAGTTAATTGCGGTTTTTGCCATTCAAAGCGGTGGCAAAGACCACAATTACTTTTTCACCAACCTAATAGCAACCAGCTCTCTCTGGAGAACAAAACAGCTCTGATTTTTTGTCTGCCAATTTCCATGATGTAAATGACACCCTGGTGCCTCCAAGGTAGTAATAGAATATCGTTAAAGACAGAGCTGGGAAGAGATAGGCACAATCAGCTCTCATGTGTAGGTTCAAGCCAGCCCTGGCATACCATTGAAGTAGGGTGTGAGAATAGTCTACAAGTGGCCATGGGGAGTAAGAAGACAAAACCCAGCTCTCATCCTAGTGGTACAGACTTAGAGGAGAATAAAAAGATCTTCACTTGAGAGGGGCTGAATGGGAAGCAGAGTCCTTGAAGGAATGGGAACAGTTTTTGGTAAGAGCAAAAAAAGTGAAGGGTACATTTAGAGGATATAGGCAATTTTGAAGATGATCAATCCTGAATTCCAGAGGGTTTAGTGGAGGGATTTAAAGATAGGACTAAGAGATTCTGCTATATGGAGATAAAAGTTTGGGAGACGAAAGGTGACCGATGCTGGGGCTTCTTGCAGCTGAGGATGAAAACAGCAATGGAAAGCCTCATTACGATGAGTTCTGGTGGTCTCAAACCTGCAGTGACAGAGAGGCTGGGTTAGTGAGCTTGGGCTCTGAGGTGTGTGAATGGGTTCTCCCTTGACCCCTGTCAGGGATAAATGTGCTCACTCCCATTGTATGGGGGCCCTCTCACTCCCATTGATGGAGTTGACATATCTGGGGAGGTCAGAGTTACTCAGATTGAGTGGGTACTCCTGGCCCATACATCACTTCATCCTCTGGAGACCCTTCCTTATCTCATTCAGTTGGATTATTTCCTTGTCATGTGTGCTCCTCAACCTTCAGCATTGCTCTCAAATTGCCTCATAATAATTTTTTTTAAAAAATTCACCTCACAGTTGTTCCAACATGATTAAAGTCCTCAAACGTAAGAATTTTCCCTTTACCCGTCTCTGTTTTGATAGGTCTATGCCATTCCTTAACACAATCCTAGGAAACAGCAGTCTTCAATAATGTCTACATAGGTCAAACATTGCCATAAGACTTATCATCTATTGAGAGTTTATTACGTACTGAGTAGTAAGCTAAGTGCTTTATAAACATTATCTGTAATCCTCAAAACAACCCGATTTTTTATGCCCCATTTACAGAGAAGAAAGTCAAAGTTCAGCGCATTGTCTTGCTCAGTCTCAAAAACCTAACAAACACAAGCACCAAGGTACTTCTGATTCCAAAGATCATTCATTCAGCTGTTTTATAAGCTCAATTTCTGAGTAAGACAACTGTGTCCATAAGCAAATCAAAAATAAGAGCTTTAGCACTTCTCAAATTTATGAGTTTGATAGCTCTGACCATACTCTGAGATTCTCAAGCAGGATCGAGTTTAGTATTTGTTATCCTAAAGGCGCCTGAACCAACAGGGTTGGATGGAACCAGGAATAGTCAGACTGATAGGGTCTGCCAGCTGGTTGCCACATATCTCGTTGAAAAACAATCTGATAAATCAGCCTAAAGATAAGCCACATGTTACCCTAAATCTGGGACAGTAACACACACTTAGCAGTCAGAAAGAATAAGATGTCAGTACCCAAATGCTAATGCATTGGTGCAAAATGTTTATCGTAGACTTTTTTTAAAGTCCGGAATGAAAAATCGAATCAAACTAATTAAAAAATAAAATTGAGTACCTGCTATGTGATGTGCTAGATATTAAAAAACTATGAAAAAGCTGTGGTCTCTGTCCTCATAAAGGTCAGAGCTTAGTAGAAAAGATAAACATGAAGTAACTATATTGTGATGTATGAATTCTTTTAATTGACAGAAACATCAGCATACATACTGACAACATGCATTGGTAGCTACCGATGGTGCCTGTTTCAGAAAAAGATGAAAGATGAGCTTCCAAGTGGAAAGAGTAGGAGGAATCTTCCTGGTAAAAGACAAAGCATTGAACAAAGGCAGCTAGCATGAAGGATAAGGTGTCCAGGGGTTGGTGATTCTTTATTGTGACTAGAACACTGGCTATAAGAATTGTAAATAATACACCTAGAAAGTTATGCTGGGCCTTGCATGCTATGCTGAGGGTTTGGACATCAAAGCTAATTTAAATCTTAAACTCTATATCAACTGTTTACTTATTGAACTTCTGAGAGGGCTGAGCATCGCTGAGAAATGAGGAAGAATTCAGCCCGGTAGGAAATGATGTATCTGTACCTGCAATGAGCTGAGGTGCAGTTTAGCGGGGACCAAATAGTAAACGTAAAACACTTAGAGAAAAAGTTAATTGCTGCAAAGTGTGTATTGTGCAGTAGGAATTCCAAAAAGGGCAATATCATCGTGACTTCAAGTCATCAAGGAAGGGCTCAAAAAGAACAGGATTTTTGAGCTAACCCCGAAAAGATAAATAGAATTTGAATAACCATATTCATGAATAATGTTTGCTTAATGTCTCTAATTTATAACCCAGGTGTTTCCAGTTTCACTTTCTTGTCATTACAACTTTGTGATAGACATAAAATAAAGATCAATACCACCACTTTGCATGCACAGAAGCTCATAGGCACTAAAGTGACTGTCATGACACTGCTAGGGTGCAATAGAGATGAATTCTTAGGACAGGTAAGGCTAATTCTCTCTTTTTTTTTTATTATACTTTTAGATTTTAGGGTACATGTGCACATTGTGCAGGTTAGTTACATATGTATACATGTGCCATGCTGGTGCGCTGCACCCACTAACTCGTCATCTAGCATTAGGTATATCTCCCGATGCTATCCCTCCCCCCTCCCACCACCCCACAACAGTCCCCAGAGTGTGATATTCCCCTTCCTGTGTCCATGTGATCTCATTGTTCAGTTCCCACCTATGAGTGAGAATATGCGGTGTTTGGTTTTTTGTTCTTGTGATAGTTTACTGAGAATGATGATTTCCAATTTCATCCATGTCCCTACAAAGGACATGAACTCATCATTTTTTATGGCTGCATAGTATTCCATGGTGTATATGTGTCACATTTTCTTAATCCAGTCTATCATTGTTGGACATTTGGGTTGGTTCCAAGTCTTTGCTATTGTGAATACTGCCGCAATAAACATACGTGTGCATGTGTCTTTATAGCAGCATGATTTATAGTCCTTTGGGTATATACCCAGTAATGGGATGGCTGGGTCAAATGGTATTTCCGGTTCTAGATCCCTGAGGAGTCGCCACACTGACTTCCATAATGGTTGAACTAGGATAACAAATACTAAACTCGATCCTGCTTGAGAATCTCAGAGTATGGTCAGAGCTATCAAACTCATAAATTTGAGAAGTGCTAAAAATCTTATTTTTGATTTGCTTATGGACACAGTTGTCTTACTCAGAAATTGAGCTTATAAAACAGCTGAATGCATGATCTTTGGAATCAGAAGTACCTTGGTGCTTGTGTTTGTTAGGTTTTTGAGACTGAGCAAGACAATGCGCTGAACTTTGACTTTCTAAATTACCGTACAAAAGGAAAGTAAAACGCCATTTGGACTAAGAAACCAAGAAACCTGAAGCCAACCTGGCATCTTTCGGTGAAGGGATGCTGAGACAAATTCGCTTTCTTGCCATGAAGAACATATGCCTTTATTTCTGGTATACAGAAGTAGCCAGTTAATCTTTTCACTATCCTTTGTTTCCATCTGCTATGTAAGATGCAAATATAGCTACTAGAGTAGGATATGTTATCTCTTGGGGAAAATAGATATATTTTCCCCAAATTTGAGTTTTATATACAGTGAGTGAACTAGAATTTCCATAGCTTGTTATATCAAATAGACACAAAGCCATGGACTGGTTGATCCCTTTTGACTCTGATTCTTAGGAGGCCCCTTGATCTGATTCTTCTGGAGAGAAGAAGCAAATGAAACTCTGCTGTTGATACTGTGCTTGGATGGTGGATGATAGGTAGAGAGGGATATTTTGTAGCTTCCTGAAATTTCTTTTTCTTGTGACCCTTCTGGAGAACTTCAGAATAGTAAAATAGGGCATTAGATAGACCAACCTGTGGTCTAATCCAGTTTCAGTGACTTGTTAGCCTTATGACTCGGGGCCTCTTATTTGTTATATTACAATGTCTACCTCACAGGATTGTCATGAGGATTAAATGAGAAAATGTTTCCACAGTGTCTAGTAAAGTATTTAGCATACTGTCTTTTATTCATTTATTTAAAACATGTTTTAATGGCTTTTTCTTTAGTTTGAATATGATATTCTAAAAAGTTTCCCAAAAGATGTATGAGTATAGAGACAAATAGTGAATGTTCTCCCCAGACATCTTGCAGAATTCTGGGTGTTCGTCAGTGGAGACAGACAGTGGGCCCCGTGTCCATAGTGTTCACGCTCTGGTAGAAGACACAGATGTAAACACACTTTAATTCTAAATTGATAAGAGCTGCAAGAAAATGGATAGGTCCTCTGATCGTTTGCAAGGGGGCTAGATAACCTGTTCTGCTCAGGAATACGGTGGAATCAGCTAAGTTTAATCTGAAGAAAAGAAAGAAGTTTGAGTAGGAAAATAAAGATCCCGGGATGCTGGGCCTTCTAGGCAGTGCTGAGACCCAAGTGCATATGGGTATAAGCTTCATCGAGGCATGTGAGTGTGTTCCTGATCCTCAATAATTCAACAGAAGTGAACCCAAGACAAATGAACATTCTTCATTCCTGCATGTACATTTAGCCCTGATTATCTTTCTTTTTTTTAAATTATTTTTAATTATTATACTTTAAGTTCTAGGGTACGTGTGCACAACGTGCAGGTTTGTTACATATGTATACATGTGCCATATTGGTGTGCTGCACCCATTAACTCGTCATTTACATTAGGTATATCTCCTAATGCTATCCCTCCCCCCTCCCCCCACCCCACGACAGGCCCCAGTGTGTGATGTTCCCCTTCCTGTGTCCATGTGTTCTCATTGTTGAATTCCCACCTATGAGTGAGAACATGTGGTGTTTGGTTTTCTGTCCTTGTGATAGTTTGCTGAGAATGATGGTTTCCAGCTTCATCCATGTCCCTACGAAGGACATGAACTCATCCTTTTTTATGGCTGCATAGTATTCCATGGTGTATATGTGCCACATTTTCTTAATCCAGTCTATCATTGCTGGACATTTGGGTTGGTTCCAAGTCTTCACTATTGTGAATAGTGCCGCAATAAACATATGTGTGCATGTGTCTTTATAGCAGCATGATTTATAATCCTTTGGGTATATACCCAGTAATGAGATGGCTGGGTCAAATGGTATTTCTAGTTCCAGATCCTTGCGGAATCGCCACACTGTCTTCCATAATGGTTGAACTAGCTTACAGTCCCACCAACAGTGTAAAAGTATTCCTATTTCTCCACATCCTCTCCAGCACCTGTTGTTTCCTGCCTTTATAATGATTGCCATTCTAACTGGTGTGAGATGGTATCTCATTGTGGTTTTGATTTGGATTTCTCTGATGGCCAGTGATTAGCCCTGATTATCTTTCTCCTTTCTTAATTATATGAATAGATTTTCGGATTAAATAAGGTAGATATTTTATTTGTTTTCTCTGTCATTTACATGGTTGTCCAGAGATAGATTGACCACAATGATGAAGGCCTGGAATAATTCCATTTTGTCTTCTATATTATTTTGGTGTTTTGTTTCATGGGCAGATGCCTCATTATGTAACATAGTAGTTATAGATCTAGTCATTACTTCAACTTTCCAGTCAGCAGGAAAAAAAAAAATTGGAAAGAAGAACATTTCACCTCTTTTAAAAGGCTTTTTTTTTTCACAAATAACTCATCTATGTACAAAGGAGGATAAATGCATTGTGTATTTCAAGTGTTCCCACATTTTAGATGGGATCCCTGGAGAGCATAAAAGTTAAATCATGTGACCAAGGACACACAGCTAGTAAATGTCAGGGTTCATGTTCACATGCAAGCATTGTTAGCTCCAAATCCCCCTCTCTAAAGCACCAGTCCACACTGCCTCTCCTCGGGACCTGCTAAGATGGTAATACTTGTGTTAAGTTTTGAAAGATGAATAGGGAGCAGATCACTTAAAGAAATTGGAGAGAAGGGCATCTCTGGACGAAAACAACATCATGTGCAAAGGAAAGAAGGACTCAGGGTGCTCATCTATAAATGGAAAAGTTTATATCTTTTCTCACTGGGCTGTTCTGAATCAGTGAGATCAAGTGGGTAAGAGCTCATGTCCCAGTGCCTGCCTTTGAAATCACTCATTGAAACTATGTTCAGAACAAAAGCCAAAAGCATATCCGTGAAAGATTACACAACAGCCTGTAGGATATACTAACCTTCTGTTAGGGGACAGCATAATTAAGGTTGTGTTAATGATGTAAGTGTTGATTTTACCAAAGCATTTGATGCGGTCTCTTTTAAAAATTTAATTGGAGACTTAATTCTAGTTGTCTCCTACATGAATTGAAAGATGGCCTGAGGAGAGCAATATAGGAAAACTCACACCAGCAATATGTTAACTGTAGAAAGGTATCTAAATGGAGGACTACAGTGATTTTTTATTGTATTTATTATCCTTAGAATTTATCTGCATGGATGACTTAGTGCAGACAAAATTTTGGTCACTTAAAATCACCAAACCTATATGAAGGATGCTAACGGGCAGAACTTCACTTTTTACCACCTCTATCTAATATTAGCCCAGTTGAGCAAAGTTTATCATATTTACCCTAGGGTTTAGAACCTTTCCTGCCTGCAGCTGTCTCAGCCATACATTTGAGCACAGAATCCTAGAAGCTGAATCTGTCTTAGAGACCAATGCATTCAGGTCATTGTTTTATAGGTGGTCTCACCTGAGTTCCAGAAAAAGTAAGTAACTTCTCAAACATCACATGGGATCATTCAGGTTGGGACAATAGCGTAGTCTTTGGGTCTTTAAATTGTAGGCAAATCAAGAGATATAAGACCAGAAGTAAAGATTTTTTTTTTTTTATCACAGTCAAGGGCTGTTATAACATTTCAGAAGTAAACAGCTGGAAAGCCCCAAGGATGTGAAACCATGAACAATGAGCAGAAGATAATCTTGAGAAACACATATTTAAGTTGTCTTTATCTTTGTCCTTATGATATTTAAAATATCCCCTACTTTCATGTACATTCCAATGCATTATGGCCATTTCTTTATTTGTGTTGCTGACCCTCCTCTTCTGTCCTGGTTATCTTTCATTTGCCCCTCCAGACCCAATGTTCACCTTTCTCCACCCTGCTCTGGTTCCCAGGAGACTGTCAGGTATGCATTTCCCTTGTCTTTCAATGTTGGTTTGGGTTCAGCTAGTGGTCAGCACTGGCAGGAGGTGTGAGAGTAGGTGAAGAGTAAGGTCACATCACCATGGTTACCTATATCCCACACTGTTAGCCACTCTCTACTGCACAGCCCTCCCCACATAGCTCCCCTCTCCAGGGTCTAGGAGCATTCCTTCCACTTGTCTATTCATGGGTGGTAAAGACTCCTCAGGGTTACTAGCATTGATAAACTGCACTGTCTCGGGTTAGTTTCCTTAAAACCATTAAATAGCCCTTTATTTAAACTCTCCTTAAATTATACAGTTTGAAGGCACCATGTTCTTCCTGCCAGGACCCTTGCTGATACAGCTGATAACCTTGATATACCCTCCTGAAACAATGTGATGTTTCTTTCTAAATGAAGTATAAAGTTTTGAAAATATATTTAACTTTATTTTAATACACCACACATTAATTTACAAGTATCATTTCTCTCGATGTATTTATTTTCACATTCTGGTACATGTTTATACCTCATAACTGTTTCTTGATTAAAATTTGTAAATTCAATTAATTAATATATAGTCTGACTGTCCAAATAACTTGAGCCAGATACTGCATCTAGGAGCTTTTCCCTTCATTAGTTCATATTGTCTTCAAAATACTCGTAAAATATATATTATACTTTCTATTTTATGAAGCTGAGTCCTTTCTGGGCAGGTTAAGTGACTTTTCTAAGTCTGCAGATCTGAAAATGGTGCCAACATCAAACCATTTAGCAAATAAACAGCTACCAGAATGACCTATAAAGAGTGACTAGCTTTTTAGAACTTCATCAGCAATATTAGAAAGAATACTCATTTTTCCCTCTGTAATAAGAGCTGTAAAGGGAGCAGGAGGAGAAAAATCTATTACATTAATATGTATGTACAAACTTCAGATGAAAAAGCTTCAGTGAAATGTTTTAAGTGATACATATGGGATGAAGAGAAGCTTTTTATCCATTTGTGGAAAATATATAGATGGAAGCAGCTTGATGGCTAAGAAGGGGTTCCAGGTTTGACCTCAGGACACTGGCGAGATGGATATATTTGGGAAATATGTTTAATAATTTTCAGTCATAGATTAATCACCTCTCCTTGAGATGTCTGTATGGCCTTCTAGACTGTTAACTCAAGGACAGGATCTATTTCTCATTTAATTTAGTATTTGCCTACTTAGCCCTCTCTACTAAGCATGAAATGAGTACCAGGAACTTGATTAGGAATATACATTATATATATATATATTTCTTATTATATATACATTATATATATATATATATTTCTTATTATATATATAAAATATATACTCCTTGATTAGGAATATATATTATATATATTTATATATGTAATATATAAGGAATAATTGTATATATTATATATTTATATATAATATATATTCATATAATATATATTGTATATAAGGAAAATATATATATATAATATATATATTATATATAAGTTCCTGGTACTCATTTTCAAAGAAAAAGAGATATACATATATATATAATATATATTAGGAATCTATATATATTTCTTTTTCTTTTTTCATATTATCCCCATGTATTGTTATTGAAATTCAGTGTTATAATTCTTGCTATAGTCTGAATGTTTGTGCTCCCACCAAAAAAAAAATGCATGTGTTGAAACCTAAGCTCCAAGGTGATGATATTAAGAGATCAGGCTTTTGGAAGGTAATTAGATCACGAAAGCCCTTTCCTCACCAATGGGAATAGCGCCTTTATAAAAGAAGTCAAAGGGAACTTGTTTGTCCCTTTCGCCACGTGAGGATTCACTGAGAAGGTGCTACCTTTGAAGCAGAGAGCGATCCCACACCAGACCCTGAATCTGCTGGTGCCTTGATTATGGACTTCCAAGCCTGCCGAAGTGTGAACAATGAATTTATGTTATTTGTGAATCATCCAGTGTAAGGTATTTAGTTACAGCATCCCATAGAAACTAAGACGGTCCTCTTTCTTTTATTTTAAATAGATAAAAACTAGAAGCTCAGGAATTCTCTATACTGCACAGGGTCCAATTAATAGCAAGAGTGAAATTGCTTTATGTTGAGTAAATATATACCTAACCTAGCCTTATTATCACCTTTTTTGTTTCCATATTTGGATTTGTGTACAACTTTCCAAGGAAATTTGTATAGAGAACATGATTTAGTTGTGTGGCTATTCTCAAGAAGTCAGGAAATTTGGTATTCCATTTACTTGAAATATATCAGTAATTCAACTCTCATACATCCAGTCACCTAGTCAAGCAACAGACGTTAGACATGAATTAGGTCTTAATCCCCATTGCAAAATGACAACCATTGATTTTTTTTTTAAATGAGGATTCAAGAAGCATATTCAATGGCCCGCTTGTTACATTTCAATGATGAGTGAACAGCTTAGCACCAGCATAGAGAAGTGTTCCTTGCAATAAATGAGAAAGGAAGAAAGCTGTTTTTTCCCCCAGCTGACCATTGGTATGAGCTCAGTCAGCATTAGTATCACATTCGCATAGCATCTTGCAAATAATTTTGCCATATAGAGCATAAAACCTCTTTCCAATCCACCACACACAGATAGAAGGCAAAATAAAGTGAACAAGAGGAAAGGGCAAGATTATCTACTTTAAAAGTGGGAGAGATGTGTCTTCAGAATGTCTGACAAGTTAAACTAATCATGAAGTACCCTATAGTTCAAGGACTCAAAAGCTAATCTGTTGCTCCATCCTAGACCCAATGCTTACATAATTTCTTTTCTAAAGATAACTACATTATGGAAGAATAAACTTTAGCCCTGTTGCTGAAATTTCTTATCTAATTTTTCCTTTTTAAATAGAGACTGGGATAAAACTCCTTTGCTAGGATAAAAAAGAAAGAGCAGTATGATTGATAATTTTAAGCAATATACACATGGTATAAGTAGTTGTTTCAGAATAAAGTATTAGAAAACAGGAAAAATAGAATCACTCTTCAAGAGGCAAGGTGTTTTTTGAAACATTTATAAACCAGGTGGTTGCTGAATATGGATAAACATATATTCTTAGAATTAAGTCTTAGGTAGTCCTGGAAAAGTTTCAACCTCTCCTGCACCCCAACCCCATCTCTCTCTCTCTCCAGCCAACCTCTTTCTCTCTCTTTAATCTTTAAAATGAGGCTAATAACAATGTTGCCTTCCTAGGACTGTGGTGAAAATTAGGTGAGTTAATAAAAGTAAACCACATAAAATATAGATGATAAATGCCTCATAAAATTATTTTTATTATCACTATTGCTGTCATCACCATCATTTTTACAAGGAAATCTAGTAAGTAATATTTATCAGGAACTTATCATATGCTGGACCTCATACTAGATATTTTGTATATTACTGCACTAAATACTCAAATCAGTTGTGTAATAAGAGGCAGCATGGTAAAGCAGAAGATCACGGCTTTATAGCGAAAATATTGGGGTCCAGATTCTAGATCTGCCACTTATTCTAAACTATGTGACTTTGACAAATTGCTTAAAGTGACACGTTGGTGAGAGGACCTGTAAAACTGAAATAATAATAATTGTTGTGATGATGTACTGTTTGATGCCAGTGTCTATAAATATGTGCATGTATGAAAATACAGTCATGCATTACTTAATGATGGGAATACATTCTGAGAAATGCTGCATTGGGCCATTTCACTGTTGTGCAAACATCATAAAGTGTACTGACACAAACACAGATGGTATAGCCAGCTACACACCTAGGCTATGTGGTATCACATAGCCTATGGCTCCTGGTTAAAAATCTGTATAGCATGTTACTGTACCAAATAGTTTAGGCAGTTGTAACACAATAGTAAGTATTTGTGCATCTAAATATATCTAAGCATAGAAAAGATACAGTAAAAATATGATATAAAAGGTTTAAAAATGGTAAACCTGTATAAGGCATTTATATGAATGGAGCTGGCAGAACCGGAAATTGCTCTGGGAGGGTCGGTGAGTGAGTGGTGAGTGAATGTGAAGGCTTAAGACATAACTATACAATACTGTAGACTTCATAAACACTGTATGCTTAGACTACACTATGTTTATAAAAATAAATTTCTTTCTTCAATAATAAATTAATGTTAGCTTACTGTAATTTTTTTACTTTATAAACTTTTTAATATTTTTAACTCTTTGACTCCTTTGTAATAACACTTAGCTTAAACACAAATACATTGTGCAGTTGTACAAAAATATTTTCTTTCTTTATATCTTTTTTTATAAGCTTTTTCTATTTTTTAATTTTTTGTTTTTCATTTACATTTGAAATTTTTTTGTTAAAAATTAAGACACACCTACATTAGCCTAGCCATACACAGGGTAGGATAATCAATATCATTGTCTTCCACCTTTACATCTCATCCCACTAGAAGGCCTTCAGGGTCCATAATACATATTTAACTGTCATCTCCTATGATAACAATGCCTTCTTCTGGAATAGCCTGAGGCTGTTTTACAGTTAACTATTTAAAAAATAAATAAATTGAGTATACTCTAAAACAGTAATAAAATATAAATAGTGAATACATAAACCAGTAGCATGTAGTTTGTATTATTATCACTATGCACTGTACCTAATTGTATGTGCTATACTTTTACACCAGCATCACCACAAACATGTAAGTAATGTGTTGTGCTATGATATTACTATGGCTACCATGTCACCAGGCCATAGGAATTTTTCTGCTCCATTATGATCTTATGGGACCACTGTCATATCTGTGTTCCATCATCGACTGAAACATTATGTGGCACATGACTGTATGTATATAGTGTGTGTGTGTCTAAAAGTCATCCCTTACATTGTAGTTAATCATATTACTGTAATGACCTTATTATTAATATAATTGAGAAAAATGAGGTATAGAGAAAATTCATGCTATGCCTACATTCATAAAAAGCTGCGGAGGCAAAATTCCAGGCCAGGTTCATATAAGTTTCATGGCCTTTGCTTTCTTTACTACATAACAATGACTCAGACGGTATATTTGCAGACTATAAGATTCAACACAGAATGAAGTAAAGAAAAGGTTAATGGATAGCCTAAACTAATTTAACTTTCACTGATCCCAATTTAAATTCAAATTGCTTTAATTTGGTTATCTTTGATCGCTTATAATCTTTGAGCCGCCATTGTTTTATGTGACTTTCTTGTACACAAACCCACTTATTATTTCACCAATCCAAAGAGGAGGTAATACATACTTAGTTTATAAGTTTTGTTTAACAAACTTATTAATACGTAAGTCTAGATATTCAACATTCTCATTTTAGCTACAATTTCTAGAAAAAAATAGCACATAAAAGTAGGGGGAGAGTTCTATAATAATAAAAATATCTAGTATCTACATTGGTCTTAATATATACTCACCCTGTTCTAAGCATTTTACATGTATTAGTTCATTTAATTCTCACAAGAGCATTATGAGGTAGATACTGTTTCCCTTCCCATTTTACAGACAAGGCTACGGAGAGAGATATAAGTACCTTGTCCGAGATCACAAACCTGGTAAGTGGTTGAGCTAGATCCTGAACCTAGACAGTGAAGCTTCAGAGTTTATGTTCTAAATGTGCCAATTTTTAAGGAAAGTAGGCTATGCCTTTCTTAATTATTTCTAAAACTTAGTTCTACTGCATCGTTATAGCTGTCATTATTTTAATTCTGTTTGACTGTTATTTACTGGGCATCTTCTAGGAGCAAAGTATAGCCAATCACACCAGAATAGAGAAAAATAACAGTGCTACTTAAGGACTTGGGAAAGATGGATATGTAAACAAAGGGATAAATTTCAGAAGAATCAAAATTCCCAATCCCAGGCCTTCTTTGCCTTCTGTATTCTGCACCATTGGGAAAAAAAATCTATTTTGAAAAGCTGTATGCTTTCAACTAAAACAAAAATTGATTGGAAGCTTTCCTTCGTTTTTATTTTGGTAAGATACATTTGAGTCAAAATCAATACCCAGAAGAGCTCCAAAGAGAAAGAGATGTTCTCTGGGTACAAAATTCGTGAAGGAGTAATTCATTCCAGTGACAGTGAAACAGTCTCTGAGTGCAGCTTTTAGCAATTCAGCTTGTTGCAAAACCTTTTCAAAAGAGTACAGGGTTTCAAGAGAACCTCAGAGAGGGGGAAAAAAAAAAAACAAAACCCAATTTATAAGTCACAGCTTTATCATAGGCAAATTCTCAATCCCTTTTTCCCTCCAGAGTTGAATCAATTGATTTGTAACCTGCTAAATACAAATAATTTCTCCTTCTATTCCCACAACAACCTCAAGTTTGGTAGCTGGGATTTAACCAAGTTGTATTACAGCATGGGGACTCAGCGGTGTCTCATCCATGCGTCTGGTGAGTCACTCTTTCTTTGTGTATCCCCTTGTTCTGTTCATCAGTGATGCCTGACCTCTTTTTGTCAACTATTTCATACTCTCCTAAACTTTGCTGCTAAGAGTCCATCCTCACAGGTACTACTGCCTTGATTATTCATTCCAGGATTCATTTGTTTTTTCATTATCCATTCATTAAACATTAATTAGTTGCCTACTATAGCAGACATTTCGCTAAGTAAGAAAAGTGCAGGAATGAACTAAAATACACAGTCAGTCTTGTAAAGCACAAAGTCATGGTGGCAGATAGATCAGTACAATAAGCAACTTAAGGATTTAATAAGCTGTATGGTGGAGAAGTATGTAGAGAGTTACAGGATGATAAGGGAAGGGTGCCTTATGCTGGTTTAGGGTTCACAGAAGACTCTTGTAGAGGGTAGCTCTTGAGCTAGGTTTTGGAGGATTAGCAGGAATTTTAAAAGCAAAAGAGAAGGTGAAGGACACTTCATGCAATGGGGTAGTATACGGAAAACATGGAGGTGGTGAGAAATGTAATTCTCTGAAGGCAAATTGAATTATACGGGAGAGTGAGGAAATCTCGAGAGACTGATACAAAGAATTACAGAGGAGTCTAGGCTTTGGCAGGGACTGGATCCTGGAGGGCTCTGTTCAAATCTGAGGTTTTAAACCTAAATTTGAAAGATGAAAAAATCATTGAAAAAATAATTACACCGAAGAGTGCCATGTTCAAAGTTTGCCTTGGAAATTTGCTTCTCCAGACCCCACTGCCATGAGTAGTGGCCTTGTGAGTGTGCACACTAGATTAAAAAGTAGACCTCCCCTTGAGTGCTAGCTCCATCTCTCATTACTGTGCAGTCTTAATCCACTACCTTAGCTTTTTAAGACCTTATTCCCTCATCTGTAAAATGTGAAAATCTTCTACTTCTTAGAAGTACTATAGTAATGAACTTATGTATTGCTTTTCAAGTGCCTTGTATTTGTGTATTCACTCAGTTACATAACATAGTGAGCACCTACCTTGTTCCAGGGACTTTTCTAGAGAATATAGTTGTGAACAATGAAAAGTTTCTATGCTCACGAACTAATATTCCTGCAGTGCCTGGCACATAGAAGGTATTCAATAATATATGATAAACAAGTATGCATTGTCAAGTTTCTTTCTCTTTCCAAATTTATAGTTAATATTTTGCCCTCATAGAACAAGGGAGACCCCGATGTTCCAATTTCATTAATGGTGTTTGCATATTGCTGTGGCATGGGTGAGATAGCCTGGGGGTTTTGCAAACATTTTAGAGCATTAGTTTCAACTATACTTCAATCTGCTTTACTTTTTCATAGTGCTTGTGATTCCCTGAAATCCCTGTCTTTCTTTATTGGCTTATATGTTAGTTATTTGTCTTCCATTACAAGCTCCATGAAGGCAGGTATGGTATCTGTCTTGTTTCCCACTGTATTCCCAGCACAGTGCCTAGCTTGTGATGGATTCTCAGTAAATACCTGTTGAATGTAAATACCTGTGGTCTCATTTCTGGCAGAATTTAATTGAAAAAAACTTTTCTAGAAGGAATTTAAGCAACAGATAAATGGTAGGATTAGAAGGCCCTAATGCTTCCTTTCTACCGAGAATGTTCTGATTCAAAATTGTCAACCTCTGAAGAAACGTCTTTACCTTTAACATTAATGCCACTCTTCTAGATACTCAAATGTTAGGAGTTGGGGGTATAATCTTCTAAAGTAGACTGAGTACATAAAATGAATTCTAGAGGAGGAAAGAAGCAAGAGTTAGATGGTAAATAGCAACATTAGTAATGCTAGGCCACCTTATATGTCCCTGCATGAAATCGAATTTTCATGGTTTATATGGAGAGTCTATCTGATATGCTTAACTACTTGTAAGCTGTTAATATTTGCATATCACCATGGAATATAGACTCTAGCAAGGTCATTTAACAGTTACAGGGCAGAAACTTTCCATTTTGTTAATCACTTACAACTCTAATTTCACACTACATCAGTCCTTTTACTCTGGTCCACAGCTCTTGAAAATCTCATTCTAAAAATCTACGGGAAAACATCTGTTCACAATGTGCTGGAAGTGGCACCATAGACACTCCCCTAAAGTCAGACTCTTAAGGACCGGAGTAATACTTTACTTGCACTATTTTTCTGATCTTCACTTATATCACTAGGAATTTCTTGTCCTTTCCCTTATCAGCTGTCTCCCATTTGCCATTTCTAAGTTTCATTTCAATCTGCCATCTGATGACTTCTTCATAGCTATTATTTATCAAATTTTTCCTTTCCGATTCTCAACTGTGCCTCTCAGTCCAAGGGCTCAGTAGTCTAGAAACAAGTCTGCAGTTATGATTTTCAACACTCTGTGAGACTCCCTACAGGTTAAACCATGGTTAAGATGCTTCCTAGATTTCAAACCAGTTACACACCCTAACGGACTTCCTCACAGAGAGAAAAAGTCAGAAAGAAAGAGGTCCAGAGGGCATGGGCCTCTTCCTGACATCATGCCCATTTGACTGACAAAGAACAAGTGCATGTTGAGTCTCATTTTCAATCCTTTAAAAATCTTATGAATTAGTGCAAGCTCAACACTCAGCCTTGACACGAGAATTAGGATACTGGCTATATTTTAGATGGGAAGCTTAGATATGATTTCTTTTTTAGAAGGCAAAACAACATGACAAACAAAGAGCTAAGCCAAGGAAATCAGACCTGTAAATTTGACCGTAAAGTCAATGAGTATCCCACTTTCATAACATTCAAATAAAGTAAAATGGCTTTGCACCCAGTTCTCACTGACATGTTGCTTCATCACTTTCGTTTTCTTTGCTTTGTTCACTGTCATAAGGCAGGGTCAAGGAAAGATGATTCATCTGAATCCTGTCAAAGTACATTTGTTGCCAGCTACAACATGGTTCTGATTCCACAATAATATCATGATGTAATCTGATTTTTAAACATAAATACTACCAGTTACCGATGAAATATGGATTATGAGAAAGCCATCAAACTAATGGAAAGGAGCCCATTCTTTCTTCTCTTCCTTCCTCTGAGCTTCTAATGTTTTTCATTAATTCTTGGCATGTGGGCCAATTTGCTCAGATCATATCACCATTGTTTGTGGAGTGTGACTGTATTAATTGAATTCTAAATTTCTACTATTGTGCAAGACGGTCCTTCTAATGAGGAATGAGAGCCAGATATAGAAGAGTTATAACCACTAAAATCAGAACATTGGCAATTAAATGCAAATGTAAAAAGCAAATATTTTGCAGCAGTTTTTAAAGCAGGGTTGTATAGTGATTTTGTTGCCCAAATACTGATTCATGGACAACTATGGCAAATGTTTGTTACTTCCTACTCAGTATAAAAGAGTGAAATAAGAGAAATAAGAAATGTGATAAGGTGAAGACACCAATCAAATTTGAGTCTCACTGTGAGGTCAGCACTCACAACCAACAGTAGTACTCAGATATCACAGCAATCATTTATGATGTCTTGAGCAACTGAGCAGAAAGTTGTTTCTCTTTCATGTTCGGGTTGCAAAATCTTTACTTAATAAATGATGAGTGGTAGAGTCTGAGACCAGGGGAGATATTTAAGCATGAGCGAGCTCCGTTTAATTTTTATTTTATATTGAAAAATATCCCCTCATCTCTAGAGATGAAAATAATTTTAAATCAAGTCTATACAGAAATGAAAAATACATTGAGCAGGAGAAGTAATGGTAGTCAAAAAAGTATGTGTTAAGTAGGATGGGAGAAAGGTAAAATGTGGAAAGCATGTACATGCAAGTTCCATTCAAACAAAGAAATTCTCTTAGGAAGTCTTCATAGGGTGGCTATGCATTTGCAGTTTCAAAGAAGATTGTGTCTCCTGGTGGGTAAAGAAAAAGAAAACAAAGAAACATGTGCTTGACATACACAATCACTTGCTGCCTCAGTTTTTGTCATTATTATCTTAATACACTATTTTCTCAATTGGAGTTTAATAAGGAGAGAATGTTACAAAAGGCACATTTAGATTCTACAGACATTTACTGAATATTGGTGCTGGGTCCTTTCCAATTCATTCTCTCACTTAATCCACACTTATGGCATATAGTGTGTATGTGCTGGTGGGGGGGCAAGTATCAACTTGATTTTACCTGTAAGGGAAACTTAGAAGCCTTGTATGCCAAGGACCATGTAGCTAGTGCTTGGCAAAGCTGAGTTCTAGGCCTTCTGGTTCTAAGATCCAGATTTTTTCTTGAAGGACAGTTGCCTCTCACTTGTCTCCATTTAATGACAATTTTATTCTGTCTGTTTCCTCATTTGCAAAATGGGATGAATATATATAGTTTCTGTAAGCATTATTATACCAACTGTATGGATGAAGAGATTGAAATATGGGGAGACCAGTACCTTGTGCAAGGTTAGATAAAGACAGAGTTGGGGTTTAAATGCAGGAGCTCAGCTTCAGAGTCCTTGCTCCTATCAGTAATATTGTTTCTTAGTATTTGATGCTACTCAGCACAAAATTTTCATGAGGATGAGGAGTTAACACAGTTTTTGTCAAGTAGATAAGGCTCAATAAGTAACTGTTATGGGTGTTGCTGTCCTCATCTTTATATTGACACTTGAATATGTATATATATTTTATAAAATATATAATTACATTTTAATATACACATTGATTATCATATATAATAACTACTAATGAATAAGAAAACTGACTAGAACTTATTTTGTTACTTTCATTTTGATTATCATTATTATTAAAATTGCTTCTAAAATATCTTCAGTGGAATGCTAATCTCTTCAGATAAAGAATACAAAAAACTTTGTGAAGTGCACTTGAACATATTAAAAGCTCTGAAGTCTTGTAAGGAGAAAAGCCGTTTAAATTGTTCAAACCAGGGTTTTAAGTGTGAAAGTACCTATGTGACATCATCAGCTTAGCAGATGCTGATAATTTGAACGTTATCAGTTCCCAGAACTCTCAACCACCTAAAGCAACAGACTTATCTCTCTTCCAGGGTGCTACTGTGCCTTTTCACTGGGAGGTACTGCTGTTTGGAGACTAAGGGCCAATCCAGAATTCCCAGTGTTTATTTTTTGCTACAGTACTCACTCAGGAAACTAAGTTGAAAGTCAAGTGGTTTCCTGAAGAGTAGGTGATAAGAATGATGTTGGATCTCCTGCAGAACATCTGACTTGAGCTCTGTCTGGCCTTAAGAAGTGGCAGTTCTCCGTAAAGAAAGAACGCCTGACCGCCTGGGTCTGGTCCATTTTACCTCTGCGACCTGTGGCAACATATTCACTGCTTTGTACCTGAGTCTTCATCTGTAATTGTGACATTATACAATGTTGTTTTGAGGATTAATGGAGACTATGAAAAATGTTCTTTGTACATATTGGACACATGACAAGCTATGCAAATAATTTTATGTGATTTATTTTATTTTGAAATTTATATTTTTAATTGCCATTTTTATTTTAGATTCAGGGGTACATGTGCAGGTTTGTTATAAGGTTATATAATGTGATGCTAAGGTTTGGACTCCTATTGTTTCTGTCACTCAGATAGTGGACATAGTGTCCAACAGAATGTTTTTCAGCCATTTCCCACCTTTGCTACGACATGACTTTTTTCTTTTTTATGGCTGTGTAATATTTCATGGTATATATATACCACAATTTTTGTAATGCAGTCCACTACTGCTGGGCACTAGGTTGACTCCATGTCTTTGCTATTGTAGATAGTACTGCAATGAACATACAAGTGCGTATGTCTTTTTGGTAGACTTTTTTTTTTTTTTTTTTTTTTTGCTGGGCAGCAGGGGATGTGCTCAATAATGGAATTGCTGGGTCAAATGGTAGTTGTATTTTTAGTTCTTTGAGAAATCTCTAAATTGCTTCCCACATGGGCTAAACTAATTTGCACTCTTACGAGCAGTGGATAAGCATTCCTTTTCTCTGCAACCTCATCAATATCTGTTATTGTTTGACTTTTTAATAATTGACATTCTGATAGGTGTGAGATGATATCTTACTGAGGTTTTGATTTACATCTCTCTGATGATTAGTGATGTTGAGCATTTTTTTCATGTTTGTTGTCCACTTGTATGTCTTCTATTAAGAAGTGTCTGTTCATGCTCTTTGCCCACTTTTTAATGAAGTTTTTTTTTCTTGTTGACTGATTTAGGTTTCTTGTAGATTTTTTATATTAGTCTTCTGTCAGATGCATAGTTTGCAAATATTTTCTCCTATTCTATGGATTGTCGGTTTGCTCTGTTGAGAGTTTCTTTCGCTGCTGTTTAGAAACACTTTAATTTAGTCCCATTTGTCTATTTTTGATTTTGTTTCAAGTGCTTTTGGGGACTTAGTCTTAAATTATTTCCCTAGGCCAATGTCTAGAAAAGTATTTCTTAGGTTTTCTTCTAGAATTTTTACAGTTTGAGGTTTTACATTTAAGCCTTTAGTCCATCTTGAGTGAGTTTTTGTATACAGTGAGAGGTAGGGATCCAGTTTCATTCTTCTGCGTATGCTTAGCTAGTTTTCCCAGCACCATTTATTGAATAGAAGATTTTTTCCTCATTGCATAGTTTTGTTGACTTTGTCAAAGATCAGATCGCTATAGGTGTGCAGCTTTATTTCTGGGTTCTCCATTCTATTCCATTGGTCTGTGTGACTGATTTTGTACCAGTACCATGCTGTTTTCGTCACCGTAGCCTTATAGTATAGTTTGAATTGACCTCCAGCTTTGTACTTTTTGATTAGGATTGTTTGGGCTATTGAGGTTCTTTTGTAAATCTGTATTAATTTTAGAATAATTTTTCCTAATTCAGTGAAAAATGATGTTGATAATTTGATAAGGATAGCATTGATTTTGTAGATTTCTTTGGGTAGTAGGAACATTTTAATAATACTGATTCTTCCAAACCATGAGCAGTAAATACTTTTCCATTTGTTTCTGTCATCTGCCATTTTTTTTCAGCAGTGTTTGGTAGTTCTCCTCATAGAGATCTTTCATGTTCTTGGTTAAGTATATTCCTAAGCATTTATTTATTTATTTATTTATTTATTTATTTATTTATTTATTTATTGTGGCTATTGGAAATGAAATTGTGCTCTTAATTGAGTTCTCAACTTGAAGGTAACTGACATATAGAAATGCTACTAATTTTTGTACATTGATTTTGCATCCTGGGACCCTGCTGAAGTCATTTATGAGGTCTAGGAGTCTGTTGGCAGAATCTTTAGGATTTTCTAGGTGTTGAATCATTTCACCAGTAAGGAGAGATAATTTGACTTCTTCTTTTTTAATTAGATGCCTTTGTTTCTCTTGCCTGATTTCTCTGGCTATGAAGAGATTTCCAGTACTACGTTGAATAGGCGTGGTGAGAGTGGACATCTTTGTCTTGTTTCACTTCTGAGAGGGAATGCTTCCAGCTTTTGTCTGTTCAGTATGACGTTGGCTGTGGATTTGACAGAGATGGCTCTTGTTATTTTGAGGAATATCTCTTCTATGCTTAGTTTCTTGAGGGTTTTTATCATAAAAGGATGTTGGATTTAATAAAATTCTTTTTCTGCATCTATTGAGATGATCATATAATTTTGTTATTAATTCTATTTATGTGGCAAATCACATTTATTGATTTGCATACATTGAACCATACTTGCATCCCAGGAATAAAGTTCACTTGGTTGTTTTGAATTAACTTTTTGATGTACCTCTGGATTCAGTTTGCTGGTATTTTGCTGAGGACTTTTGCATCTATGTTCATCAGGGATACTGACCTGTAGTTTTCTTTTTTTCGTATATTTTTGCTGGATTTTGGTGTCAGGAAGGTACTTATCTCAGAAAAGGAGTTAATGAGAAGTCCCTTGTCCTCAGTGTTTTGGGATAGTTTCAGAATGATTGTACCAGCTTCTCTTTGTATTTCTGGTGGAATGTGGTTATGAATCCACCTGATCCAGGACTGTTTTTGGTTGGTAGATGTTTATTACTAATTCAATTTTATTACTCTTTATTGGTCTGTTCAGGATTTCTGTCTCGTTCAATATCAGGAGTTTGTGTGTTTCCAGGAATTTATCCATTTTCTCTGGATTTTCTAGTTTGTGTACATAGAGGTGTTCATAGCGGTCTCTGAGGATCTTTTGTAATCTGTGGAATCAGTTGTGATGTCGCCTTTGTTAATTCTGATTATTTAGATCTTCTCTCTTTTTTCGTTAATCTAGCTAGTAATCTATCAATCTTGTTTATCCTTTAAAAAAACTTTTCATTGACCTGTATATATTTTTTGAAGTTTTAATTTCATTTATTTATGCTCTTATTTTAGTTATTTCTTTTCTTCTGCTGGCTTTGGGGTTCTTGTTTTCTGGTTCTTTCAGGGGCAAGGCTAGATTGTTAATTTGAGATCTTTGTATCTTTTTGATGTAGGCATTTAGTGCTATAAACTTGCTTATTAACACTGCTTTTGCCATATCCCAGAGGTACTGGTATGTTGTGTCTCTATTATCTCTTGTTTCAAAGAGCTTTTCTATTTCTGCCTTAATTTTGTTGTTTGCCCAAAACTCATTAAGGAGTCAGTTGTTTAGTTTCACTGTATTTTCGTGATTCTGAAATTTTCTCTTGGTATTGATTTATATTTTTATTCCACTGTGGCCTGAGAAAATGCTTGCTATGATTTTGATTTTTTAAAAAATTTGCTGAGACTTGCTTTAAGACCATGCGTGTGGTCAACCTTAAAGTATGTTTTGTGTGCAGGTAAGAAGAATGTATATTCTTTGGTTGTTGGAGGGAGTATTCTGTAGACGTCTGTTAGATACAATTGTTCAAGTGTCAATTTAAGTCTATAATTTTGTTTGTTTGTTTGTTTGTTTCTGCCTTGATGTTCTATCTAATGCTGTCAGAGGAGTGTTGAAGTCCACCAGTATTATTGTGTGGCTTTCAAAGTCTTTCCTTAGTTCTAGAAGTAATTGCTTTATAATCTGAGTGCTCCAATGTTGGCTACATGTATAATTAGATTAGTTAAATCTTCCTGTTGAAATGAACCCTTTATCATTGTGTAATGTGGTTTTCGTATTTTTTGTTGTTGTTGTTGTTGTTTTTTAAAGGCTGAAGACCTCACAATAGAGTCAAGAATTTATTTAACTATTCTCCTGTTGCTGGGCATTATAATGGTATGATGAATATCTTTTCACTGTAATGCCTCCCTATATTTTATTTTATTTATTTTTTTAATTTTATTATTATTATACTTTAAGTTTTAGGGTACATGTGCACAACGTGCAGGTTTGTTACATGTGTGTACTTGTGCCATGTTGGTGTGCTGCACCCATTAACTCGTCATTTAGCATTAGGTGTATCTCCTAATGCTATCCCTCCCCCCGCCCACACCTTGTATTTTAAGGTCTATTTTATCTGATACAAGAATAGTGACCCCTACTCTTTTTTGTTTTCCATTTGTGTAATGGATATTTCTCTATCCCCTTACTTTGGGCTTACAGGTGATGTTACATGTGAGATGGGTCTCCTATAGTGAGTAGGATGGGTCTTGTTTTTTATACAATTTCCCATTCTATATCTTTTAAGTGGGGGCATTTAGGCCATTTATGTTCAAGGTTAATATTAATATGTGAAGTTTTATTCCTAGTGTTAGTGGGTTATTTTATAGTCCTGATTGTGTAGTTGCTTTACAGGGTCCATGGGTTATGCATTGCATGTCCTTTTGCAAGTATCATTACTTCACTTCCATGTTTAGAACTCCTTTAAGCATCTCTTGTAGGACCAATCTGGTAGTGACAAATTCCTTAAGCAATTGTTTTTCTGGGAAAGACTATAATTCTCTTTCATATATGAAGCTTAGTTTTTGTCAGATATAAAATTCTTGGCTGGCATTTTTTTTAACAATGCTAAAAACGAGCCCCCAGTCTCTTCTGGCATTTAGGTTTCTTCTAAGAGATCCACTGCTCATCTGATAGGTTTTTCTTTATAAGTAATATGACCCTTTTCTCTAGCTGCGTATAAGATGTTTTTCTTTTGTGTTGACCTTGGAGAGTCTGATGACTATGCTTTGGGGAAGATCCTCTTGTATAGTATCTCGCAGGAGTTCTCTTGATTTCCTATCTCTTCATGTTGACCTATTTAACAAGATTGGGGAAATTTTTCAGAATTATATCCTCAAATATGTTTTTCAAGTTGCTTACTTTCTCTCCTTCTGACTCAGGCATGCCAATAAGTCATACATTTGAACTGCTTTACATAATCTCATATTTCTCAAAGGCTTTGTTCATTTAAATTGTTTATTTTTATTTTTATCTGACTACATTGATTTGAAGGACTAGTCTTTGAGTTTTAAAATTTTTCTTTTTCTTGGTCTAGTCTGTTGTTAAGGCTTCCAATTGTGTTTTGAAATTCCTGTAGTAAGTTTTTTAATTCCAGAAATTCTGTTTGGTTCTTTCTTAATATAGCTATGTCGTCTTTCAAATCTTGGATCATTTTGCTGGCTTCTTCATGTTGGATTTCCACTTTCTCTTGGATTTCGTTGAGTTTCTTTGCTATCCACATTCTGAATTCTACATCTGTAATTTTGAACATTTTATTCTGGTTAGGATTTATTGCTTGGGAGACAGTGGGATCCTTTGGAGGTGATGAAACACGCTGGCTTTCTGTGTTGTCAGAGTTCTTGCACTGGTTTCATCTCATATGAGAAAGCTGTCTTTTTTTGAATTTGCTATCATTTGGATGCAGCTTCATATTTTATTATTTTTTTCCTTAGGAGTATGACTGTTGAACATACTTTGTAAAATCAATTGGCTTTGCTTCAGGATGCTCTGTAAGGCTTTATAAGTATTCCTTGGTTGCAAATAGTTTTATTCAGTGGCTTTCTGAGACGTTGCTTGTAGTAGGAATTTTGTTTGATGGTGTAATTCAGGCTGCATTCCAGAAGGTGGTACTTAAGAATAAAAGTGGTTAGGGGTGGGGGAAGAAGCAAAGGAGATGTGTGAAAAGGGCCTTCTCCCTGCACATTTGCCTTCAGTGGGGATGGAGCTGCTCTAGAAGCCCAGGAAGTGACCTTTTCCATTTCACACTCCTCAGACCCTGAGAGGAAGAGCCATTGCCGAGTCCGCAACATTGCACTGAGGCAGGGAGTAGGGAGGTGGGAGATGAACCCCTCTCCACATCTGTTTCTGGGCTTTGGTGGTACTGCCTTCAGCACATGGTTCTGTGCTTGTTTTCCTTTGACCTAAGGGAGGCTTTTGTGGGCTGTGCTCCCCCTTCCCTTAGGGGTGGACCATGCCAAGGTTTAGATCTCCAGTTCTAGGCATTTTCAATGTCAAAGAGTCTGTATAAGTTCCTTGGTTATAGATAGCCTTTTTGTGGTGGCTTTCCCAAATGCTGGTTGTAGTAGCAATGTACTGGGCATGGGAGGAGGCTCATTGCCTCCTGTGGGGCTGAAGTGTCAGTGGTCTCAGGAAGTTTGTCTCATTCCCCAGAGCTGTGTGCTTATATCAGCGGATTTCCTGTCGTGTTGCACCATTCAGTCTCCAGGTTGTTATGGGTAAGAGTAGGCTGTGGCCAATGTGGACGGGTATACACCTGATCATTATTTACTGGGAGAAGCTCCCTGTTGCCTCAGGCATTGGGCAGATCCATAGAGTGCACAGTGGTCTGAGCTCCCTGCTCAGTCCCAGGGGGAGAACCAAGATGGGTGTGACAGACAGGGCAGGCTGGCTTAACAGGTCCCCTGATGGCAAGTACAAGCACCAATTCTCTGGGTGAGGGTGTTCAGTGGGTGGCCACCAAGCACTCAGAGTTGCGCCTAGGCGTGGAGCTAAAAAATTTCCTCTTCCCCAAGTTCTCTGCACTGGAAAGGAGAGAAACCTAAACACCTAATCTAGAAGAGTGGGTACCCCACATGCCTCAAGATATGTCTGATGTCAAGTGAAAAGAGCACCATTGCACCAAGATATGTTGTGCATATAATTTTACTTTCCTTCCTTTTCTTACTGAAGGATATTTCTCAATAAAATTCAAGTAAAGTAGCTAGAAGCAGAGGGATATGCTACCTGTATTGTGTTTGTATACAAAGAGTGGTTGGATTTTAAAATGGTTGACTTGACACTTGGAGTATTAGTCTGTTCTGACACTGCTAATAAAGACATACCTGCAACTGAGTAATTTGTAAAGGAAAGAGGTTTAATTGACTCACAGTTCCATATGACAGCAGAGGCCTCACAATCATGGAGGAAGGCAAAGGGGAAGCAAGAAATATCTTACATAGTGGCAGGCAAGAGAGTGTGTGCAGGGGAACTCCCCTTTATATAACCTTGAGATGTTGGGAGATTTACTCAATGTCATGATAACAGCATGGGGAAACCTGCCTCCATGATTCAATTACCTCCCACCCAGTCCCTCCCATGACACATGGGAATTATGAGAGGTACAATTCAAGATAAGATTTGGGTGGGGACACAGAGCCAAACCATATCATTTCACCCATGGCCCCTCCCAAATCTCATGTCCTCACTTTCAAAACCAATTATGCCATCCCAACAGTCCCCCAGTCTTAACTCACTCCTGCATTAACTCAGAAATCCAAGTCCAGGGTGTCTTCTGACACAAGACAAGTCCCTTCTGCCTATCAGCCTGCAAAATCAAAAGCAAGTCAGTTACTTCCTAGATACAATGGTGGTACAGGCATTAGGCAAATACATCTATTCCAAATAGAAGAAATTGGCCAATACAAAGGGCTACAGGCCCCATGCAAGTCCAAAATCCAGTAGGGCAATCATTAAATCTTAAAGTTCCAAAATGATCTCCTTTGACTCCATGTCTCATATCCATGTCATGCTGATGCAAGAGTTAGGCTCCCATGGTCTTGAGCAGCTCTGCCCCTGTGGCTTTGCAGGGTACAGCCCCCTTCCTGGCTGCTTTCACAGTCTGGTGTTGAGTGTCTATGGCTTTTCCATGTTCATGGTGTAAGCTATTGGTGGATCTACAATTCTGGGGTCTTCAGGATGGTGACCCTCTTCTCACAGCTCCATTAGACAATACTCCAGTGGGGACTCTGTGTGGGGGCTCCAACCCCACATTTGCCTTCCACACTGGCCTAGCAGAAGTTCTCCATGAGGGCCCCACCCCTGCAGCAAACGTCTGCCTGGACATCCAGGCATTTCCATATATCCTCTGAAATCTAGGTGGAGGTTACCAAACCTCAGTTCTTGACTTCTGTAAACTCACAGACCCAACACCATGTGTAAACTGCCAAGGCTTGAGGCTTACACCCTCTGAAGAAACAGCCTGAGCTGTATGTTGGACTCTTAGCCACGGCTGGAGCTGAAGCAACTGGGATGTAGGGCACCATGTCCCAAAGCTGCATAGAGCAGGGTGGGGCCTGGACCTGGCCCAGGAAACCATTTTCTCCTCCTAGGCTTCCAGGTCTGCAAAGGGAGGGGCTGCCATGGTCTCTGGCATGCTCTGGAGACATTTTCCCCTTTGTCTTGGTGATTAACATTTGGCTCCTCTTTAATTATGCAAATTACTGCAGCCTGCTTGAATTTTCCTCAGAAAATAAGGTTTTCTTTTCTATTGCATCTCAGTCTGTAAATTTTCCAAACTTTTATGCTCTGCTTCTTCTTGAATGCTTTGCTGCTTAGAAATGTCTTCCACTAGATACCCTAAATTATCTCTTTCAAGTTCAAAGTTCCACAGATCTCTAGGGTAGGGGCAAAATGCCACCAGTCTCTTTGCATAGCAACAGTGACTTTTACTCCAGTTCCCCAAAAGTTCCTCATCTCTTTCTAATACCAACTCAGCCTGAAATTTATTGTTCATATCACTATCAGCATTTTGGTCAAAACCATTCAACAAGTCTCTAGGAAGTTCCAAACTTTCCCACATTTTCCTGTCTTTTTCTGAGCCCTCCAAATTGTTCCAACCTCTGCCTGTTACCCATTTCCAAAGTCACTTGCACATTTTTGGGTATCTTTATAGCGGCACCCTGCTACCCAGTACCAATGTACTATATTAGTCTTTTATCATGCTGCTAATACAGATATACCTGAGACCGTAATTTATACAGGAAAGGGGGTTTAGTGGACTCACAGTTCCACATGGCTGGGGAAGCCTCACAATCATGGCGGAAGGCAAAGGGGAAGCAAGAAACATCTTTCATGGTGGCAGGCAAGAGAGCCTGTGGAGGGGAACTCCCCTTTATAAAACCATCAGATCTCTTGAGACCCACTCACCATCATGAGAACAGCACAGGAAAACCCACCCCCATGATTTCATTCCCTCCCACCGAGTCTTTCCCACCACATGTGGGGATTATGGGAGCTACAATTCAAGATGAGATTTGTGTGGGGACACAGCCAAACCATATCACTTGGCTCTGTCATAATGGCTAAGATCAATTGATTTGCTTACTAACCTTCATAAATATTAAAAGACCATTAAAAAGTTGAAAATAAAGCCATTCTCCAAAAACACAAAAGTTGATCTAGAATTTGTATTGACATGTACTCTTTCTGTTTACTTCCTGACTCCCACCACTGCCATAGCCCTACCTCAGCCTTAATTTGCTTCCAAACTGAGCATTTCTGAGTTAATTATCCATGTGTAGGCTGGCTCTGCATAGGAGTCTGAAGTCATAGAAATACTATGAAACACTTCTCATCCATTTGAAAAATAGCTACCTCTGCTTGAGTACTTATGATGTGCAACCAGTAAACTAGGATCGCTATGTAAAACTGATCATAAAATCCTCACATAGCCTTTGGTGAATGATGAAACTAAAGCTAAGAGAAGTCAAGTGACTTGTTTAAGAGTACACATGCTTAAGTTTAATTTCTAGGCCTTGATATTTTCACAATGCTTTGTAACCAAAGCAGTGGTGATGCCAAAGGCTCCACCTCTGCCAGCAGAATGCATGTGCCCCTTAGAGGTGGAGGTTTTCTCTGATTCATTCTTCTATACCCAGTGTCTAGCACTCTACCTAACACATGGTGAGTATCAGCCAATACATGTTGGGGTAGCTTGAATGGCAATTGGGAAAGAACATGTCAGGGCCAGTATGACACTAGGACTATCTTTTATTACTTAGGACTAAGAAGAAAAGCATATTTCACAAATAACATATAAAAAACATGGGTTGGGAACAGTCTATACAGAGCCTAAACTTTAATCTCTAAATCAAGGAATACATTCTCATCCTAAAAGTCCAGTTTTCTTTGCCTTGTCTGTCAGAGGCAGTATTCACAGATTAGAGTTAGGAAAAGCTAAAAAGATCCTCCTGTCTTGTTTCTTGCTAAGATACTTAAAATTGCTTATCAGCCACTAAAGAATAACGTGTTTTACAGAATATGGCCCCAGAGAAAGGTGTTTCCTCCCTGATCTTTACTTCTTTCTGAAGATGGCTTGTCATATTGTAACCTTTCAGTAACCCAGAGGCAGTGAAGAAATGCATATGAGCTCAGAGAGGGAAGAGGGAGAATGTAGAGGGCCTTGTCAGCCATTACACGTTCTTTGGATTTTACTCCGTGTTGATGGGAAGAAACTGAGGGGGTTTGAACAAAGGGGTGACATGATATGCTTAACTTTATAAGGATTACCCACATATGGAGAACGGACTTTCAAGCAACATGGATAGAGGCAGGAATACTAGTTAGGGAGGCTCTGGGTAGAAGATAGTGATGTTTTGCCAGATTCTACAGGTGGAGGAGTGGGGACAGCAAGAGGTAGGCCTTTGCCTTCCTCTCTGGGATTTAGAAGTTTTGAAACCTGGCCAGGCACGGTGGCTCACGCCTGTAATCCCAGCAATTTCGGAGGTTGAGGCGGGTGGATCACCTGAGGTCGGGAGTTTGAGATCAGCCTGATCAACATGGAGAAACCCCGTCTCTACTAAAAATACAAAATTAGCCGGGCATGGTGGCAGGTGCCTGTAATCCCAGCTACTTGGGAGGCTGAGACAGGAGAATCCCTTGAACCCGGGAGGTGGAGCTTGCGGAGAGCAGAGATCATGCCATTGCATTCCAGCCTGGGCAACAAGAGTGAAACTCTGTCTGAAAAAAAAAGAAAAAAAAAGTTTTGAAACCCATGGATAGCCATTTTTTGGCCTGGTGATACGCTTCTGCATGTGTAATAAACCCAGAATGTGCTAACCACTTACATTGAGGATGGTGATGAAAAGGGGAAGAAATGATCAGGATAAAAATTAGTATTTGACAATTATTTTTCCATTACAACTGTATGCTTAATGAAGGGAAGCAACTTGTGTTTTTATTGTTTTTCTAGTGTCTGAATGCCCTAGACATTCAATAGATATTTTCTACATGAATCAATAAATGATTAATAGGGCCATATGGAAACAAACCATTTATCAACAGAAAAGACATACGGTTTAAATAAACTTTAGGTCTCTTTGCTTTTGGTTGATTTTTCTTGTTGTTCAATATTGTTATACAGCTCATTCAGTTATATCAAAGGTCAGATTAAACTAGCTGTGAATAAGAAATTTCAGAACTTCGTGGGCCTGTGCTGTCAGATTGGATAATAAAAATGACTATTAGAGGTGAATATTTGGAAAGGGGTGGTGCTGCTCATCTGGAATTGTACTGAAATGTCCTGTCTATCCTGTCACTGCCATGACTGAAGTCATATTTGAGGTAAAAAGTATCAAAATGCATTGTTTACTTTTCCAGCATGATTCATTGACTATGCAAAGAAAGTCTATTTCGTATTAGTGTATTTCTCTTTTTAAATTGTGGTATTTAAGTCTTCAGAGAGAGTCAAGATATTGGTGCTTAATTTAAGAGACCTTTCAGATGAAGTCGAATGTTTATATGCTTCATGAAATATAGTTCAAAGATGAAAATTGACTACAATGTAGAAAGATAATTAAATGTGGAGATTTATTAAGCAATTTCATTATTTGTGGATACTACATAATTTTTTAGATATAGATATAGATACCTATATCTAAAAAATATATAGATATCTTAAATAGATATAGCTGTTATCTTCCTTATTCCTCTTCATGGGAGAATGTTAATGTGATTGCAACATAAAATCTCAGAAGAGTATTTCTTTTTCGATGTCTTATTTTATTGATCTCTGCTTTAAAATAATTTCATGACATTTTCTTCTTTGGGAAATGACCCATGAGGAATGAACGTAATTGCTACACTTTTTATATTTATTTTCTGACTTCATCCCACATTTTAATTAATTCAAATGTAGCTATCGTTTTATAGGTAACTCACTGTGGAAAGCACTAACCTGTATGGAACTCAGCTTTGAATTCAGTGATCCAAGCATTCTCAACACTGCCGTTTACTAACTACGTGAGCTCAAACAAGCCACTCGGCATCTGAGTTTTTCAGTTTTTAAGATAGATAAATAAGCCTGACAATGCAAGGTTGTTTTGAGGAATAAATGAGATTATATCAGCAAGTAGTAGGTTCAGAGTAACTACTCACCCCATCACTAACAAGTGTATATATGCTCTGGTCATTTTCATAACTCTTGGCTAAGCAGTTAGTGCTTAGAGTCCACTGATTCTGTTTACCTTGCTCATGATAAAAATCATTTAAATAAGAGAAAAAAAGACATTCTTAGTACAGTGTGAAAGGATCCAACAAAGTTAAAATGAAATCAGAGTAAAACAATGTCTAAGCATTTCCAAAGTGTCCTTATTCAGTCATTAATATGTAAATTAAGTACTCATGATGGGCCAGTTTAATGCTAATAAGTATTAACTTTCCAAAAAGGTATAATTGATAGTCACTGCCAACTCACAGTTTCATCACTGAGGATTCTCAGTTAAAATGGCAGAGTTCTGTTATTTGTTTTCAGTTTAGTTTTACAAATGCTTGTTCAATACCAGTTAAGTATCGGGTGTGGCTCTAGTGCTGGGCACTCATTCCTTATGTCCGTGAAGCCTAAAGTGTGCTAGCAAAGGGACTGAGAGTAAAACCATCTGTTTCTCAGACATACATCAATGCTCCTAAGTTCCGGAGAATCGTAGTGTTTATACCTACACTTGTCTGCAAGGAGGAGTCCTATAGGCCAAAAGTGACTCAAAACAACAACAACAAACTCTAGACCATATGCAAGTATTCACCTCATACATAAACCAACTCCCTGAACAACCTGGTAAGCTGCCATCTTAACGGTGGCTGTGCCTCCCCTCCACATTTCCCTCAGTCAGGAGGCTAGATTGTCCACAGAAAAAGGCTTGGCACTGCCCTCCTCCGTCAGCTTTACCTCCCTGACATTCTAGATGAAATTTGGTCTCTATAGATGCATTGTTTGTCTTTTCCTGTGGTCCATCCGTGTCTCTAGAGCTCACCACTTTGATCGGATAATTTTTGAATGGGCATTTTAGGACCACAGCACCTATTATGTAAAAAACTATATCTTGCTCAAGTTCTGAGAAGGTATGCTTCAGGGCTTGATGCCCCCTCTTATTGGCCCAAATTTCAAGACATCTGACACGTAATGCTTTTTATGTTTGATTTGACATTCGTATCGTTTCTTTGTTTGATTCAAAATAGTGTTGCTATATTTTCCTCTGTATTTCATCCTTTTGGTGTTTTTGTTTATTTGTTTGTTTGTTTTTGAGATAAGGTCTTGCTCTTTTGCCCAGGCTGGAGTGCAGTAGTGCAATCATAGTGCATTTCAGCCTCAAACTCCTAGGTTCAAGCCATCTTCCTGGCTCTGCCTCCCTGGAAGCTGGGACTACAGTGCTACCATGTCCAGCTAATTTTTAAATTCTTTGTACACACAGGGTCTCCATATATTGCCTAGGCTAGTCTGGAACTCCTAGCCTCAAGCAATCCTCCCTGCTTGGCCTACCAAAGTGTTGGGATTATAGGTGTGAGCCACTGCATCTGTTCTATTTTCTTACTTTTACGTTCCTGGAGAGTTCTGATGGAGAATAAAGTAAAACTGCCTATATGCCACCATTTTAGCCAGAGGTTCACATAGACTTGAATTTAACTTCTGTTTTAATCACGTATTACTTGCATTTGCACTGGAATAAGTCACATAGTCACACGACCTGAATATTGGTTTTCTTATCTGTATTCTAAAGGTAATTATATCTCTCATGCAGGTTTATTGTGAAAAGTACAGATGTGGTATACACACACACACACACACACACACACACACACACACACATACACATTTACTTTGGGAAAAAATGGTAGCAATTCCTCTGAGGCAAAACGCAGTAAATGTTGTCATGGAGGTTAAGCTGCTTCTTCATCAAAACCCACCAATTATAGAAATTTAACAGGTATGTAATAAAAATATCTCATCTATGTGGAGCTGGCTTCCAGAAGAACTTTATTTTACAAAATAATAATATTTTTTCTCTTCCATAATTCTGCAGTATTAAAAGATTTTAAACCTATAAAGCTTTTAGCCCAAGACCACTTATATAATGTGTCAAAGATTTGGGAGAGTGTTGCATTTCTCTAGCATGATTCTGTTCTGCTGTGGCACAACTAGACTTACAATTGGACTTTTACTGAGGTCCTTAGTAGATTTCTTAGTAAAGAAACGTCAACTCTATGGTCAAAAAATGCTTTTCGATGATACATTAGGCATTTTGATTATAGTGTTCAACCTTTGTAAGGCTTAGAAAATAGGCTGCCAACCCTTATAAGAAGACATCTGCTGCTAGCCACTGTTTCTCCCTTGGGCTCCAGAATTAAGGACCTGTGAGTGTTTGGGAGAAATATCCTAAAATTTTGATTCTCAGCTTAATTATCTTTCTAGTAGTGTAACATTTGGACTGTTTCACTGCTCACCCAGTTGTGAGCATTTGCCGTCAAGTTTAGAAATTTGAATGAGCTTAAATGATAGTTCTCTAATTTGTGAGTTCCTGTTCACAATCTTGATTCATTAGTGTTCAGTCAGCATGGAATAGTTATCGAGGTACAAGGTACAATGTACATTATCAGTCAAATACAGAAGGAAAACAGGAATTACAACGTGAAAGAAAAACATCATAGATCTCAGGAGATTGACAGAATTCTTTCTTTTTCCATCAGACTACATCAAGCATTATCAATAATATGAGAATCACAACCCTTATTCTTTTCTAAGTGTAAACACTGTATAAAAAGTAAAACAAATTTATAAAACTATCCAAGCTCTAGCAAAACTTTATTTTCAGTCCATATTTTCAGCTTTATAATTTCTAATTCATATATGTCAGCGTTACAAATGCAAGCAATACTTTTGAACTCACATATGAAGAAGGCAATATTATCTTCTATTTACCTAGCATTTTAATATTCATTAGCACTTTTTTCAAATCTTTTTCATTTTTGTTTTTGATTCAGAGGAGTCCTGTGAAAAAGATATTAAAATTTCAATGTAAAGTGATTGAAACCAGGGCTCAGATGGCTCAAGGTCAAATAAGAAGTGAGAAATGTGAAGCCATACGATGGCTATATTTTCTATTTTCCTACCCTGTATATCCCAGATCTAGACATTTTTCCACTAAAAAAGTAATTCCTAGTTCTACTGGGTTTCCATCTGGAGACTGGAATCTGAACAATAAAGAGAATGAATTCCAATTGTCCTTTTCCTTTATTTAGTTTATATTTATGGAACATTTTTAAAGTTCCAGGCACTGTAACATTTTGAGTACAATCTGTTATCTTCATCATATAGTTAAGAAAAATAAGGTTAACAAAAATTCACTTGCCCACAGCCCTGCTACTGGTGAATAGTAAAGCCTGGATCTACGTACAGGCAGTTGGCCATCTGTGTTCCTACCACTCCCTCCACCATCTCCCTCCTGCCAGCTACATCTCACCAAAGATGATATCTAGCCTTTGTCTGCCTTGTCACCAAGCAGACAAAGATAAAGGTAAAACCCTAACACTGAGGAAGTTGGCGTCAAATGCAAATTGTTAATATTTTCATATTTCATATATAGTGCTGCCATTTTGTCATTTGAGTAAAAAACTTACTGAATCTGAAATAAAACTCTAACAATTCTTCAACCTCCAGGGAAATACCACAGTGCTTCCCAACCTAGGCTATATATTGGAATTACTTGTGTGCTTTTTAAAATACAAATCCCTACCCTTTATTACCCATCCATTACTCTAGGTGTGGGGCCTGAGAATCTTTGTTTTTAAAAGCTGCACAGATGACTTTTCTGTACTGTGACCAACTTTTTAGAGAGTCAATCAAGGACACAGTGATACCCGACAAAAAATGAATCATAATGATAATGATATTGATAATTTAAAAAACACATAATTATATACATATAGTGTATGTTCTTACTTTCACATAAAAATATGAAAAAGTAAAGTGTTCACCTAAAATTGCGTATTTACTCTTTACATACATTTTTCCTATTACGTAAATGCTATTGTTAAAACAGCAACGAAAATAATAGTGGCAATTAGCAGTAATTAATAGTATGACTAATTAACCAAATACTGTGCCTAGAAAACTATAGCAATTTTTTTTATAATGTTTCTTTTTGTTGTTTGGTACAGAAATTTAGTACTTTTAAACTCTGTATCAGAATTTTATATTTTATCATCTACATTAATACATACAAAAATTACACAAATGTACAAAAATGTAATATTTCTTTATATGAGAGCATTCAAGAGTCCTGTGAAGTACATTATTAATAGAACTCATAGGACCAATAGCACTAATTAAAACAGATATGACCTATATTCAAGAAAAAAATAACAATGACGTGTTTCTACCTGTCCCATATTACAGTAGGATATTTTTATTCTTTTTGTTTCTTTTTCTAATAATACTTCTCTAAACTTCCTGCAGCCTTCAGGACACCTTACATTTATTTAATGTGATGGAAAACTAAATGTAGCCATGTAAAATTTACTTTATCCTACAGATCTGCTTTTATATAAAGTCCACATTTCAGTGATACCTGGTGTCTTTCTATTGTGATGATATCAAGCTAAATATACTCTCTAAAAAAGTATTTGAGCATGGGATAGTTAGGACTTTTACTTACCTCCAACAGTGGACTTTTAGACTTATGGGAACTTGTTTCCTGATTTCCAAAAAAAATAAATCCACTTTATATCTGCAGGTATGTTTTAATAGACCACTTGTTTATTAATCAGGTCCTTTAATATCTATACATTCACTATACAGGCAATCCACACCTAAAAATGTTCATCATTTTAAAGCACTCCGAAGCACACTGGTTGTCATCCTAAGTTAAACCTCTCTTTCTCAGGGAAAATGGTTTTAGGCAGTTAGGTAATTTGAGTTTGTGAAAGTGGGCTGAATTTTAAATAAATTATAGTTTTAGTTAAACTAAGAAACTCCTATTTAACTTGGCTTCCCTTTTCTGGTGACTTTCTGTCTTTTCTTTTCTTTTCTTCTTTTTTTTTTTTTTTTAATTTGTAAAGCAATCTTATTTCCAAACTGTGAGTTTATTTTTTACTGTATGAATTTTTGTTGCAATTTAATATAACATTAAATAGCTCAGGTCCAGGCAGTCCATCCTTTTCCATGTTCTTTACCACCTCTTCAAAGATCATCAAACAGCTTTAGAGAAACAATAAGTAAATTTCTATTTTACTGTAATCCTTTCTCCATTTTTTTTTTTTTTTTTTTTTTTTTTGAGAAAAAGTCTCACTCTTGTCACCCAGGCTGGAGTGCAGTGGCATGATCTCGGCTTACTGCAAACTCTGCCTCCTGGGTTCAAGCGATTCTCGTGCCTCAGCCTACTGAGTAGCTGAGATTACAGGCACCCACCACCACACCCAGCTAATTTTTGTATTTTTAATAGAGATGGGGTTTCACCATGTTGGCCAGGATGGTCTCAAATTCCTGACCTCAGGTGAACCACCCGCCTCGGCCTCCCAAAGTGCTAGAATTACAGGCGTGAGTCACTGCGCCCGGCCCCTTTCTCCATTTTTATCCTTGGTGTATTTCCATATTAGAGAAGAATGTTCCTTTTATTCCAAACTTTGGAAATAGTGGCAGGTCAACATTTAACATCTTTTCCTTGGCAGGTAACAACGATAGCCATCTTGCAGGCCCATATCTAAAGAGAGTTTGTCTTTCCATTTTATAAAGTAAAAAATTTCACGAAGTGCTTCTGCACATCTTGAGCGAACTGAGAAGTCATAAACTTTCTTTATGAAAGTATCACTTTCTCAGGAAAACACATCATAACACTTCTTCTACATGGGCATAAGGTGTGCTGGACTTTTAGTAGACCTTTTCATTTTCTTTGGTAAGAAATTTGCAGGCTGAAGAAATCTTCCAAAATTTATAATCGTACTGTTTGCCAAAAATGTAGATGGATGAGCAAAGTCTAGTTTGTATTTAAACAAGGTATTAATCATATTTTGTTTTATTTATTCTGCAGTTTTATTAAAATGTTCATACAAATTAAGAAAACAGTTTGAAACTAGTTTTCAAATCAAAGTACTTCAAATTGTTTCTGTGATTCATTGTATCACCTTTTTTTTTAGTATAGAAAACATCATTGGTAAGATAGAACAAAAACAGCACTAGTATGTGAGAAGCTCTCTGAACTGTTGTCAAAATGTCCCGTTTTGTTTGCCACAAGGCAATTTAGTTGCAATCTCTGAAATCAAGAACTGTAACTTACTAGAGCAATCAAGAGAACCAGAAGATAATGTGTGTTCATTCATAGAATATTCCCGACTATTTCAACCACTGCTGTTTTCTACTGGGCACTGGTGTCTTTGGGGGAGATTTAAAAACTTTTTATTATTTTAGGTGTACTTACCTGTCTCATTCTGGGCTTGTGAATTTCAGTCTCACAAATTCTATCTCTTTCTTTCCATTCCCAATTCCAGATTTTTTTTCCTCTCTGTATGTTGTGTATATACGGAATGCTCCCTTAGTGTCTTTTTTTGTTTTGTCTTGTTTTTTGTTTTTGTTTTTGTTTTGAGATGGAGTCTCACTCTGTCACCCAGGCTGGAGCATAGTGGCGTGACCTTGGCTTACTGCAACCCCTGCCTCCCAGGTTCCAGCAATTCTTCTGCCTCAGCCTCCTGAGTAGCTAGGATTACAGATGTGTGCTACCACACCCAGATATTTTTTGTATTTTTCACCACGTTGGCCAGGCTGGTCTCAAACTCCTGACCTCAAGTGATCTGCCTGCCTCAGTCTCCCAAAGTGTTGGAATTACAAGTGTGAGCCACCATGCCTGGCTGTATGCTCTCTTTAGATAATTTACCTCCCTAATTCAGTTGTGTATGTCCTTCCTCCAATCATAAAAAGATCACTGTGGTTTAATTTTCTTTTTTGTTGCTATCTGAATGTTCTGGCGCTAGTATTGTAATCGTTTTTATTTTTTATTATTTGAACACTTAGAAAACATGATCACAATGTTAAACATTAAACTAACACTATCTTGATGCACAGCTATGAGTCATTTTCTCAGTCAATCAGAGACGGACTGTCACTCATGATTATGATGCACTTTCATTGCACACTAAAGTCACATACTCAGAGCAATGCAACAATGTTAACTGCAAATTATGGTTGCCAGTATCACTGGTCAGGGGAAAAAATAAACTATGAAAGATAATCTATGCCATATCCATTTGACACCAAAAAGTGTGTTGCTTTCAGCTCCCTCCCCCTCCTTTTTGCTACCGTATGTGTTTTATGCTTTTCTGGTGCCCTTCTACATCCATCTGTGAATGCTGTGGCTTCTACCACCTTGGGAACGAATTTCTTGAGATGTAGGATTTACATTGCAAAACCCAGAATGGTCCCAGGTAATCACGATGATTGGTTACCCTACACTGTGAGCAGCCTGGTATTAGAGCCAGTCCTAGAATGTTTAGCATTCAACTTTCATCCCTCCATAGTAGTGCTGATCTGAGTTCCTTGTCTGATTTTCTGACTTTGTTCTGATTCCCTAGTGTCAAGTTGGCCAGACAGGGCACCACGGAGGAAAATGGGATTGTCATGAGGGAGCTGCTCTGGGTTATGGGGCTTAGAAGATCAATTTGGCTAGTTCAAACAAAAGTTGTCTAGGAGATGATAAAGGCACTTATGATTATGATAAAGGCATTTATCATAATCAGGGTATAGTATGTCATGATATTCTGTACTAGCAATTAAGGTTAGGAGGTCATTTTATGATTCTGCCTACCATATGTAATTTCATTTTTCAAGCTCTTTGGCTCTCAGTGTAAGATTCTGAGACCCAAGTTAGGCAGACCAAAATACAGAAGTGCTCTTCATAGAATGAGGACAAGACAGAGAAGTGTATTTAAGTGGGTCCTGATTTCAATAGTAAACATAAGATGAGAGAGAGATTGCAATTTCAGTGACTCTACACATACAGAATGGAATGACAGGGGTTAGGGTAAGTTTAAAACAGAGAACTGTGCTAGGCATGGCCTGGATCATTTTTGGTAAAGTGACAAGCTTATGGTATATGAGGATTATCACTTTATATCTGCTTGTTATCATTTTATGTATATCTCTCTCTCCTCATTGTAAGCTTATGGAGGGTTAGGACTACATTTAATTTAACCTTGTCTCTCCCTTACTAAGCATAGTACCTTGCATTAATGGACAAATGAATAAATGAAAATCTTAATGCATGATTTCATGCATTTCTGGATCAATGCATACATGAAAAAGCTACAGTCAGAAGAGAGGACCAGGATGAGTCCGAGATGGGAGTTTCTCTGACTCAAACCTTCTGAAATGTATTTCTACTTAAAAGCATCACTGTTCAAGACTACCTAATAATTCTGTTCTTAAGAAACAGCCCACTTGACCTTAAAAGGTCTTTTTCATCTATTATCTTACCTAACATGGGGAGAGGGATATTGTTTCTACCCAGGATCCCTTAATACCTGCAACACTGAAAAATCTTCAAATAAATGTTTTGCTTTCTTCTTGGAGAAAAATGTCATCAAAATAAATGTTTTTCAACCTTTGTGGGCACGAGCCCCTCCCCTGCATAGATGTGGCCATGCTGTAGATTCCTAAATCCTTTGTAGGAATCACTTTTGGGAATCCTCTGTATTGGTTTGTTACTGTTGCAATAATAAATCACTACATACATAGTGATTTAAACAGCTAATACTTATTTTCTCATAGTTTTCATGGGTCAAGATTCCAGATGGGCTCAGCTGGTTTTTCTGCTCTAGGTCTCTAAAAGCCAAAATCAAGGCTTTTGACTGGCCTGGGGTATTATCTGATGGCTGTACGGTAGGATCTTCTTTCAGGATCATGCAGGATTTTGGCAGAATCTAGTTCCTTGCTGGTGAAGGACTGAGGTTCCCCCTTCCTTGCTATCAGCTAGGGGCTGCTCTTAGCTTCTAGAAACCACCCTCTGGTTCTTGTCCACAGGCCTCTGCATCTCAGACTCAGCAACTGTATGTCTGATTTTTCTCATACTTGAAGACTGATATTCATTCTGCCACATCTCTCATGCTCCCAGCCAGAGATAATTCTCTCTATATGAGGCTTATATGTTTCCTTTGGGTCCACTTGAGTAATCCAGTACATTCTCCTCATTTTTAGGTCTACCATAACCATAATTACATTTGTAAAGTCCCTTTTTGTCATGTAACATAAAATATTCACAAGTTCTAGTAATTTGGTTGTAAATGTCTTGGTAGGGGTGGGGGAATTTTGCCTATTGTATTCTCTATCTTTTGGAGCAGGTATACTGGGGAGCAGATGAGGATGGTGCGTGTGGGGCAAATCTGAAGTGGATCACGATACTAACTATAATTCATGCTCCCTCTCATGGATATTAACAGTTGATTAAATCTGTGTAGATTAGCTTCCCAGGCCCTGTAATAAAGTTTTCTCACTCAATGTCAAGCACTTAATGTTATTTCTCTTGCTCACTGACTTGATCAACATACACCTACCCTGTATATGAGACACCTTAAAAAGCCAGTTTGATAGAGTGTTTGCCATCAAGGAACTTACATTTTAGTAGATAAACATAAAAATAACTAAATGCTTATAATATAGTGTGTTAAGTGATATGCTAGGGTTGAAACGTGGCAGATCTCAGGGACACAAGTAATGGCAGATAAGCCAGAAAAAAATTGTATTGGATGCCAATCAAGTGTCAAAAGGATGCCAATCAAGTGTCAAGAATATATATTCTTGACACTTGATTGGCATCCAATACAACATGCAATACATTATAGCATAGCCAAGTTTCTGATATATATATGTATAGTCAGAAACTTGGCTATGCTATAATGCAGCTGATTAAGAGAGGAACCTAACAGATTGTGAAGGAACTATTAACCAAGTATTTTATGCAGTGTCAAAGGCACAGAAAAGCAATAAGCACGTAGAAGGGAATGTCTCTGCTTAGAGAAAAAGGCAAACATATTTGAACATATGACATCTCTCTCCTTTGACATAGTATGCACTCGTATATTCTTGTTGTAGAAAGCTATGATAGCGTGACTTTAATGTGTAGGGACTTGCTTATGTGGTAGGTGGATTTAAGCTTTTTTTTGGCTTAAATAAGACTAAATCCTCTTTTTCAAATCTATTTCTTGTACTTTTAATTTTTCTCCAAATTATTTGGAGAAACTGCAAAGGAGTTTGCAGAACTCCTTTGTATTTTAGTAATATAATCTATTTATATGTATAGTTTAGTGTGATTAGTGACTCCTGATGCAATGCATGACAGAGCAATATTTATTACTGTCTCCCATTGAAGTTCCTTTGGCTAGTCTTTAAACATTATTTATAATTGATGATCTGATAATCCTCAGCAAAGTGTCTGTCACAGATGATCCCTTGAGAAAGTCTCTTAATTCCTGTGAATCTCAACATCCTTATCTGTGGATAAGGGATTTTATTATATTGAAATCTGCAAGTATTATAATTATTGAGAGAATCATGAAAAGTCATTCTTGACAAAATAAAACATTTAATGACGTTATATTGGGACAAAAAAGCTTAGTGGTAGGCACAAAAAGGGAAAATAAAATGTGTCATATGAAAATAGATGCTTGTAAATGTATATGCATATGAATATGTAAAACTTTATTGTGACAGACTAGTCTGTTATAAAACACATTCTCTCCCCATCCTCCTGACAAACTTTTCAATTATTTTAGCACTCACACATTCTGGGCATAGAATTTCAGAAGAACTTTTTTTTTTAATAAAAAAAAAATTTCCAAGGGTTCGAATATTGCAAGTGGACTTGAATTAAATGTTTACTGAATCTCTTCTGTATACACCAGCATTTTGGGGGGCACTGTGGATACAAAACTGAATGAGGCAGGAACTCTAACCTCACAGGATGTCACAGGCTGGAGCAGAGGTTCTCTGCGCACACATGCTGTGAGGTTTTTGTTTTTGTTTTAAACAAGTAATTGGTAACTTAAGGTAGCTTATAAAGTGCTAGGATTTCAGAAAGATTTACATGTTCCTATTATAAAGGGCACCCAAGTGTCTCTCTACTTACTCCACATTCTCACTTAGTGTTCCAATATGCTTTTGCATTGAAGTATTTTGCATTGCAGTAAATATAAGGCTACAGCTTCTGGGCCAGAAATTGTGCATGGACTATCCAGGGCAAGGCCACAAAAGTATCTAGACCCTATGAACATAATTTATTCTGTACATCAAAACTGGGAACCATAGCCTAGTGAATGTTTTCTGAAACAGTCCAGGATGACAAAAACACTTCGTCTCCATAGTGTATTTTTATGATCTTCATGATCATTAGTCATTTCAGTCACAAATACCTGTCACAAATCTATCAGAAACTCAGCAGCCACACTGCTTTGGGCCCTATGCATGGCATCAAGATACCTGAACAAGACAAGCATGTTTGGGTCTACGTGAACCTTATTATGCTTTTTATTTTTTCCCTTTGGCTCTTGACCTGCCAGAGAATCACAAAAGAGGGAGATGCTAAGTAGCAGGTATAAATTTCAGAAACATAGATTCCTATAAGGTGAAAATGTAACTATTTTTCTAAAGTGCATTGTAGTGTTTTGATACTAAATCTGAAGAAACTAAATCTGGTCACTTTCAGATCGATTCAGCTTCAGTGCAGTGCAGTGCTTCTTTGTCTATAGGATGTGTAATTCGATCACGTTCTGTTTAGATTCCTCTCCTGGAGAGTTTCCATCTTGCTTCTCTCTGGGGTTGACTGCAAGCTCCAGAGAGCTTACTCTCTTGCCAGCACAGTTTCCTTGAGGAGGAGCCCCTCTATGCAGGAACTTCATCTGCCTTGATGTCATACTGGTCTTCACTCCCAATTCAATCCACTGCATAGTCGTGTAAGGAGCATGCTGAAATAACAAGTGGGCAAGCTTCGGGCACCCATGAGGGCCCCTGTCACTGGTCCCACATGGAGATGTCTTGGTGCCCTCCCCTAAACCCCAGTGGGAATTAACCACACCTTGTCTTTTTGATATACATTTCCTTGCCCCTGTCTTGCCATGATTATCAAAATTAATCTCTCTGTGTCATTCAGTCATACACTTGCTACAGAAAAGTCCAGGCTATAAGCAGTGACTCATCATTCTAAGCCTCCTCATTGACATTCACCTCCTAGAGGTGCAAAGAAGACTAAAGGAGGCCCATGTCCTCTCTTCTCTCTAATCCCTGAAATTCCAAAGGAAATCCTCTCACATACCTTCACCCCTCCCTCACCATCTGTCCTTGAGCTCACGGTGGTTGAGGCACAAAGACAGATCAACTAAGCAACTCTCTTGTGTCCCCTTCAACTGTTCCCTTAAGCTAACATGGAAGGGTTTTTCCATCTGAAACTGGGGAGGAAAGGAAAGATAGTTTTGCTGGTGCATCTCCCTTTCAGATCTTACTGCCCCCTACCTTATATCTGTATAAAGGCTTTCAATTTTAGAAGTCCTCTGATAATTTCTCTTTTTAATTATTGTTTAGCTTAATGGTAGCCTTATTGTCACATCAGGATTATACATTGTTACAGGGAAGAAGAAGACATTCTTAAATGTCTCCAATTATTATTCTGCCATTATTAAAGCATATAGAAGGATGCAGGGTTAAGGAACTAAGGTGCCAATATTCTGTGTTCTCACGATACCACATCCAGAGTTCTGTAATTCACTTATCATGATCCAGTGAAAGCCTACTTATGCAGTTTTCACCAATAAACTGTAATTTCTTCAAGGACAAGGGAGCATGTCTTATTTTTGTATCCTAGTGCCTAGAACAGTGCTTTGCGTGCATTGGTACTATAATTGCTACCATTTATTGAGCCCTTATTTTGTCTCTGCATTGAGTGGAAGGCTTTATGTAGCATGATTTCTTTTGATCCTTACAACCCCGTGAGGCAGACAGTATGGCTGTGTTTTATGTCTGAGAAACTGAAGATCAGAGAGCTTGAGCAATTTTCCTCAAGGCAAAGAGATTACAAAAACTAAAGGCAGAGATCAAACCCCAGCTTAACCTCTATTTCAGGCTGTGTCTAAGTTAATGTTTGAGTACGAAAAGCTTATATTCTAAATCCAAAGTTCTAAATGTCTGTCCCATCAGACCAAATGTTGGACATGTCTGGGAACACCCTTATAACAGATACACTGTTGATTAGTGATGCTCGCATTGCTGTATCTAAAAAGATAGATTGTAAAAAACCTTTTATTAATCCATTGAATTAATTTACTTATATTAGAATACCAGAAATGACATTTCTAATTTTAAATCCTTTCATGACTTTGGTTTTTCTACCCAATTTAAATTAATAATTTCTGATTCCAAATTTCACTTAATGGAATACCTGTTATGTTTGAGGTATTGTGGATATGAAAGGAATAAGACCAGCCTAAGGAATTCCATAGTCTAGTAGTGGAGATAAACATATAAACAGAATCCAGTAACAGTTTATATGCAATCTAGGCTAGGCGCGGTGGCTCACGCCTGTAATCCCAGCACTTTGGGAGGCCGAGGCGGGCAGATCACGAGGTCAGGAGATCAAGACCCTCTTGGCTAACACGGTGAAACCCCATCTCTACTAAAAATACAAAAAATTAGCCGGGCATCGTGGCGGGCGCCTGTAGTCCCAACTACTTGGGAGGCTGAGGCAGGAGAATGGCGTGAACCCAGGAGGCGGGGCTTGTAGTGAGCCGAGATCGCGCCACTGCACTCCAGCCTGGGCGACAGAGCGAGACTCCGTCTCAAAAAAAAAAAAAAAAGAAAAAAGAAAAGAAAAAAAAAAAGAAAAAGAAATGCAGTCTAGAGCCTTTATGTAGGGTAGAAAGCTGTCTCAAAGGAAATTCAACTTTGCAGCAGGAAGAAGGAATGTGGTGGTCAAAAAATGTTTCCTGCGATGATGGTTTAGAGGAGCAATTTAGGCAGAAATATCAGCGAGGGTCTTGGGAGCCAAGCCTCTTTACGGTAGTTAGTTCCCTTAGAAATGTCATAGGAAATCCAGGGGCTGCCTTTTGCTTGGGACTCAGCAATGTGTGTGTGTGTGTGTGTGTGTGTGTGTGTGTGTGTGTGTGTGTGTGTATGAGCCATTAATTCTAGGGGCCTGAATCAAGACTGTCAATATGACTTTATTCAAGCACAATCATAAGTAATTAGCATACTATTTATATAATATTTATTCCCCATCTTGTTCCAGCCATCATGCAAGGCATCTTTCCTAAAAATATACAGCAATTTAAAATACTCATACTGAAAAATAGTGGAGGGGCAAAGGAAAATGAGCATTGGAATGAAACTATGAAGCCATGTATAATATTAATATATAAAAATTCTACTATTTAAGTCCTGTGTAATTTCTTTAATTGGGCCACAAGTTTGATTGTACGTTTTCAGCAGCTGGTATGAAAAGGGAACCACAGAGTTTCTAGTGCCCATAAAATAAAAATAGAAGAGATACTCAGAAGCAATATCACCATTTATGCCTTGTATAGTGACCAGAAAAAAATCAAGCTAATATGTAATGTGATGAGCAACATTTTCAACAATATTCATATGTCAGATATTTTGATTAGGTTTTCGAAGCAGTATTTTTATACTATCCGTCACTAAAGATTGACCCCATCAAACTAAGGCACAGTTCAGTAGATACATGTCTCTCAAGATATGATGTGATATGGTTTGGCTGTGTCCCCACCCAAACCTCACCTTGAATTGTAGTTTCCATAATCCCCACATGTCCTGGGAGGGACCTGACAGGAGGCAGGTTTTGCCAATACTGTCCTCGTGACAGTGAGTAAGTCTCAAAAGATCTGGTGGATTGACTGATTGATTGAGACAGAGCCTCTCTCTCTCACCCAGGCTGGAGTGCAGTGGCGCAGTCTCAGCTCACTGCAACCTTCTACCTCCTGGGTTCAAGCGATTCTCCTGCCTCAGCCTCCTGCATAGCTGAGACTACAGCCACACGCACCACGCCCAGCTAATTTTTTTTTATTTTTAGTAGAAATGGGGTTTCACCATGTTGGTCAGGCTGGTCTCGAACTCCTGACCTTGCAGTCTGCCCACCTTCACCTCCCAAAGTGCTGGGATTACAGGTGTGAGCCACTGGGTCCGGCCTATCTGGTGGTTTTATAAGGGGTAATTCCCCTGCACATGCTCTCTTGCCTGCCACCATGTAAGACCTGCTCTTGTTCCTCCTTCACCTTACACCATGGTTGTGAGGCCTCCCTAGCCATGTGGAACTGTGAGTCCATTAAAACTCTTTTTCTTTATAAATTATCCATTTCAGGCAGTTCTTGTTAGCAGCGTGAGAACAGACTAGTACGTGATGGGACAGTCCCTGCTGTGCATATTCTCGGCTCCTTTGAAGTGATCTAGTCATGGACTTCAGTATCCAGTGGAACGGAAGGACTGGAATGGTCTTCAGGTGATTCTTGATAAGCACAATTTTCTTAAGATTTGGGTAAAAATTGATGGGCAGTATATTTGAGGTTACATTCCATGAAATAACTACCTGCGCACATCTATTTTATGTTTTGGGGTGAGTTCAGAGCCATCTTTATTTTATTTGATTTGATTTTATTATTTTTATTTATTTATTTTTATTTTTTATTTTTTTGAGATGGAGTTTTGCTCTTGCTGCCCAGTGTGGAGTGCAGTGGTGTGATCTTTGCTCACCGCAACCTCTGCCTCCTGGGTTCAAGCGATTCTTCTGCCTCAGCCTCCGAGTAGCTGGGATTACAGGCGTGTGCCATCATGCCCAGCTAATTTTGTATTTTTAGTAGAGATGGGGTTTCTCCATGTTGGTCAGGATGGTCTCAAACTCCCAACCTCAGGTGATCTGCCTGCCTCAGCCTCCCAAAGTGCTGGGATTACAGGCATGAGCCACCGTTTCCGGCCAGAGCCATATTCTTTAATAGCTATCTGAACTGGAGCCAGGAATCACATCTCATGAAAAAGGAGAACATTGAGAAAATCATAGCCTAAATATAATATACAGACTTCATACCTCTAATTTTAGGAGGCTATCAAGCAGTATCCAAGGCAAAGTCAAGATGGTCAACATTTTTCTCAATATTTAGTGTTGAGCCGATTGCAGTGTTCAGGCAAATGGACAACTGAGAACTCAGATAATTCCAAATCTTCACTGGTCAAAATAATTCCAGTTTTTTTTAATTAATTCATTCACTTAGTCAGTATACAGATGATGTGCTTTTAGCATCTAAGATCTTTAAATCAGATGTAACTAAGCATTCCCCATCTCCCAAGGCTATTCTATGTATCCTTAGAATGATTAACTTAAACGATAGAATATCCTAGTATGTCCTCAAATAGATTGGTTGTGAAACATACAGCAAGATGATCAAATCAGTGACATTTCTGAATAGAATCATGAACTATAAACCCTTTATATGTTGGAAGATATCAACCCAAACGGGGCTTCTAACTCTTGATTGCTGATCTGTAGCCTTTCTTTCTGGAGAAAAATCTCTTGTAGTTGATGACGGTAAAAAGATAAGAGGAATGTCTGCTGCTGGCCTGGGTCCCCCCTGCTGGAGGTGTCTGGCAATGTGTTAGCTTGGACTGGTAGTTCGAGCTTGCACACTGGGAGGGGCTAATCAAATAGCAGCCTCCCACAAGGCCAGCAGGTCTGGCAGCTGGTGTTCCCAGTATTCCTGTAAAACTTCCTTGAAGGACTGACACTCAGTTGCACCCTGTTTATTGACAAAGCTCAGGCTGGTTTTCTGCTGTTATATTAGTCCATTCTCATGCTGCTAATAAAGACATACCCAAGACAGAGTAATTTATAAAGGAAAGAGGTTTAATGGACTCAAGTTCCACGTGGCTAGGGAGGTTTCACAATCATGGCAGAAGATGAAGGAAGAGCAGAGGGATGTCTTACATGAGAGTGTGTGTGCAGAGAAACTCCCCTTTATAAAACCATCAGATTTCATGAGACTTATTTACTATCAGGAAAAAGACCCGCTCCCATGATTGAATTACCTCTCACTAGGTTTCTCCCATGACATATGGGAATTATGGGAGCTATAATTCAAGATGAGATTTGGGTGGGGACACAGCCAAACTGTATCAGCTGTTTTCTAGGGCACTCACTCACAGCATAACAATGTAGCACCTGCCTCACACTGTCAACTGCTACCTGTGGCCTAGGTGCATTTCACAGGATGGCCAGGGCATTGCCCTGAACCACCTGGGCTACAGAGCAAGGCTGCTTTAAACAAAAAAAAAAAAAAAAAAAAAAAAAAAAAGTTACCTAATTCTCCAAAAATTCCTTGTTTCTCTGAGGATCTAAGTGATATTAAGGGACAGACTTTTGATAAATATCAATAACTAGGGGACAATCTATAGCCGGTCCTCAAATAGTGTCATTTCATTCAATGTAATTTTGTTATAACATTGATGAGAAAAAAAAAATCACTTCCCCAGCCAGGGGGTGGTCAGGGCACTGTCTGTGTGTAGTGCCTATCGCCCCCATATTTGCGTGGGTTTTCTCAGGGTACTCTGGTTTCCAACCACATCCCAAAGATATGTGGATCAGGCTAATTGATGTGTCTACATTGTTCCTGTCTGAGTGAGTGTGGATGTGGGTCTACATGTGCCCTACAATAAAATGGCATCCTGGCCAGAGTGGGTTTCCAGCACCATTCCTGAGCTGCTAGAATAGATTCCAGCCTCCTGAGACCCTGAACTGGAAAAATTCAGTAAATAATATCTTACTTGTTTTTATTAATCTTTCTTATGTGTATATATTGCTCACATTTCTTTCAGTGTTTAATGTTAGAAGTATTTTGGTCTTTATTTAGAAGCCTGGTAATGTATTTGTGACAAGAAATATGCCGTAGCAACTTATATCAATTAGTCTATATGTCATTTTCCTAAAAGTAGCAGTTTCCAAGAACCTATGGGTGACATTAAGTGAGAACTTACGGTATGTAACTGTGACTTGTTAGCCCATTGCCAGGCCCTGGGTGAGAAACTTCTATTCAAATGCCAAGGAAGGCTTAAATAAACCATAAACAAACTTTCTTTGATCCTAGCATGTTTCTGTTTATTATGAATCTTAAAGTACATAATGATGGTCAGCAGTGTAATAGCCAAGTCCCTAATCCACCTATTTCTAAAGCACGCTGGCCTGGGAACTCCCCAGGCTGCAAGAAACTAACACACACTATAGTTGAAATACCTAATGAAAATAGGTCAATCATCTGTGTGAGATGTGTGAGATGAAGAGCCACTGATGTAAACAAAAGAAGAGAGGAAGTACTTTGAATTGAAAAAGTTATTTAAAAAACATGAAAGATCAGAACTTGCCAATGAAGGTGACTCTTAAATAATTCTTGGGGCAAGAAAATTGTCCTTGGTTTCTAAATTTGAACTATGCTTTATTTTGTTCTGATTGTTTTGTTTACAAAGTAAGCTATTTTTAAGACCTAGAAAGAAAGGAGCATCTTATGTTGATTATCTTAATAATGTTAACAGAAGAGGTGAGAGAGAGGTGAAATCCAAACAATTGGTGGGACAGGGAGCAAGAATGAAGGTTCTAAGGTAGCAGAAGGATAAGCTTCTTGAAACATTCTTTGGAAAGTGTTGTTTCATTTATCTGAAATTCTTCATGATATTTGTCTGGCATGTGGGAGAGGAAAGAGGGGCACTGGTACAGTGAAGCACAAATGGAATAAATAATAGTACCTCCCCAATTCCAGCTTTCTCAAATTGGTGAAAGGAGCCCTGGGGAGAAATTTCCGTTTCAAGCTTTTTAATATGTCCTTTAAAAAAGTGTGTGATTTATGTTGCCTCTTCTCCCTGTAGTTAGGTTCCTAGGAAAATAATTAGCATGTCTAAAAGATTATTGTGCAGAGCAAATTGAGACTCCATCAGGACGTTTGAAGTCACATATGTAGGAATGCTCTTACATGAGAAGGTAGTGGTAAAGGATTTGTACTTAGGAGAGCTGGATTCAAGTTCCCTCTCATCCAATCTGAGCTGTGTGACAAGTGGCTTACTTTGCTTTGATTGCATAGAAGGACATTATAAGAAAAAGTCATATGAAGCTTGCTACAGAATTTACTGCTGGAATATGATCAAATAGAGTTTGCAACATCAGTGTCTCATTTAGGAAATTTCTCTCTTGGTACAAACAGAAAAAAAAAGAAAAAGCATGGTAATGGTTTCAAGTGGCTATCTAAAAGCACAGGCATTAGGCAAATTTTACCCTGGACAAGTTATGTAAACATTCTAACCCCAATTTTCTCTTCCTGGAATGAGCATACTAATAATTGTGACATAGCATTGTTATGGAGAATAAGTGAGATGCTGTTATTATGTGGTGTTTAATGCACTCCCTCATAAAGAGTAGACATACCACAAATAACAGCCATATTATTATTCTACCAGTGGAATCATACAAGACATACTTAATTTCTCCAGCCATGAGTTGTGACAAATATAAAATACTGATCAGGGAAGCTCATTAGAGATTCAATGCCCCAAGGTTATGATTGGGGGCTGGTCATGTAGGCACTCACTGCCTAGCATGCACCCAAATTCCAGATGCCCAAAAGGAAAGGAAGTATTCAGCATAAGCCACCTTGTCTGTACAAGTAATTTAGGTGTAGTAAACTACTCTTAGTTTGGAAACCCTCCAGAAGTCTAAGTTCCTAGAACCCAGCTTAAGGTCAACTTTGGAGGTGTTTCTAAGGATGCTGTGTCAGGCCTTCTGTGTTAACCTTTTCTTCCAATCTCCACTAGAAATTATTTACAATGTAATGAATGTATGTTGGTTACTAATTTTTATCCTGGTTCTTCTTTATTTTATTTTGCTTTTATTTCCTGATTTATTTTAATTTTATATCTTATTTTGTATCTCCAAGTCATCTCATATATTTTTTTGAAAATAGTGGGTTCATAACAAATGCTTATTGAATGGATACATTAAATAAGATTACAGTGTGCTAAATAATAGATGTGTGACTTTGGGTCACTCGTGACCTCTGTTACTTTAAGTTGTCTCATTTACTCAGAACAAAAAAATGTCTTTCATAAGAAAAATCATGATGATGACATTATTATTACTGTTATCTCTTTTTATAATCTATGGAGTTATTTTTAATATAAAAATAAGCTAAAAATGTGCTTTATTCTTTACATCTATAAACACTTATGAACTGTTATAATTAATTACAATGCAATGGTCTTGGGTGAGTCACCTGAGGAAGAAAGAGTAGCTGATCTTCCAGGTAATGAGGCCCAGGCCACATCTGGAAGTTGGAGGAACCAGAGACTAGTTAAGTAGATGTAGATTCACAGCCCAGTTCTTCCACTTACTTGCTGTGTTAACTTGAGAAAGTTGCTTGACCTCCCTTCTGTGTGTCAATATCCTTACCTGAAGAATGAGGAAATATACTTGTTTAATAGAGTTTATTTAAGGATTAAATGAAATACTCAGTGTCTGACAAACAGTAAGAACTCAGTAATTATGTTATTTTTTGAGCTACGCCTGCCTTTGTACTCAGTAATTATGTTATTTTTTGTGCTACACCTGCCTTTGTCATTCTCCTCTTTTGTTGGTTTTTAAGCCATTCACCTATGTAAATTCACCAGGCCTCAATAACTGTTTTACAGAATCTGCATGAGACTAGCTCTAAGGTTCCTCCTGGCTCTTACATGCTATGACTCCACACAATTGCCCTTTTTTTTCCTCCATATATTTGTAGCATAATTCCAGATCCAGGACACTGCAGAGCCTAAGAGAACAGAATTTGGAGGCAGGGTCTTTGGGAGATAGTTGGGTTTAGGTGTGGTCATGAGGGTGCAGGCCCTCATGATGGGATTAGTGCCTATATAAGAAGAGGAAGACAGATCTCTCTCTTCCCACACACTTGGCACTGAGGACAAGCCATGAGAGGTCTCAGCAAGACCACGGCTGTCTACAAACCAGGAAGTGGGCTTTCTCCAGGAGTCACATCCGTCAGCACCTTCATCTTGGACTTCCTAGACTTCAGAGATGTTAGAAATAAATGTCGTTTAAGCCACCCAGTCTATGGTATTTTGTTATAACAGCCTGAGCTAAGATATCCACCATTACTATGAAAGTTACTTGGAAGAGCTTATCTGTTCTCCCACTGCTAGTTAAAAGCTCAGCAGGTCCCATGACTCTTCTGCTCACAGTCAGAAAGTTAAAAAGTCATAAAGTTAGAAAGTCATAAAGTTACTTTAAATTAAAAACACAGTGTCAATAAGTCCAGTTCAAGATTTTTAACTAAACTCACACTTAAGCATTAAATTTCATCTTAAATTTACTTGAGGCGGAAGAAGCCTGAAGTTATGGTTGAAGACATGGCTGGCTTTCCTATTTCACCACCCCAACTTGTCAGCCAGTTTCTGACTAGCAAAGGTGATAGAGAGGAGTTTTACTTCGACTCATGATTTCTTACATTGGTGGTGTACCCTTAAGACTTGCAGAGATTCACAAGTGTTGCTTTCCTTTATGGGCATGTTTGTAATTCCTCAGAGATTCCCATTATTGAAGACTTTTTTCCTGCAGTTCATATGATTCGGGTAAAAGCATCCCTCTTCCTCATTGTCATGTGTTCATTTAATAAACATACTCTATGAAGCCTGGCACTGTGGCACAAGCCTATGGTCCCAGCTACTCAAGAGCCTGAGGTGGAAGGCGTTTTAGCTCAGGAGTTTGAAGTCAGCCTGAGTAACATAGTGGATCCCATCTCTAAATAGTAATATTAAAATATAAAAAGAGATAATTGGAAAATATCTATTTAGTTTTCACTGGAGAGTAGGAATTTGTCAAGTAGAGAAACCTTTCTTCAAAGATCTCCACCAAACCAACTCAGTCCAGAGAAACACGAGGCTCAAAGTCTTGTAGTTATAAGAAATCATGGTTTCTTTAGAGAATGTTGAGACTCGTAGTGAATTATGTTTAGATTTCTGATATGTGAAAGCACTCACATTTCCTTCGTTCTTCCATGTAGTTGAATGTGTATCCTTAATTATTGTTTTGGGAACAAATGCAGAATGAAATGGCAGGATTGGAATCCCTGGGATACAACACTAGTCCTGTGGTTTAAACAAACAATTCTGTTGTACAAGTACTCAGTTATCATTTCTATTGGAAATTATTATCTTTTACTCCTATTCACTCTTAGCAAACATTCATTCTGATAGTCATAATGTGAAAAAATGATGATATAGGCATCAGGAAAAAATTGTGGTTTATTTAATTATGCATTATAAAAAAAATCTTTCAGAAAATTAATAGGACCATTTTGGTGATTAAAAATAATTTCATGTTCTGATTATTCTGAAAGATTTAGTCTGTTGCTTAGCTCTTACGGGCCTTTCTAAAATGATGGGTTATTTAGATGCATTATTTAGACATTCTTAATAGGAGCTAATGGAACTGTTAACAGCATATACTGTTTACCTTCATGAGCTCCTCACTAACAAAGGTCATGATGGCAAACAGCATAAGTAACAAAAGTAAAATATTTAATTATTTTAGCATCGATCTGAGCTTGTCTCTTTGTTGTAAAGAAGGCTACACAAGAAGCATATTTTCAGGTTTCTTTTTTTATTATTTCTACTCTGAAATTTCCAATGTCTTGAAGCAAAGGCAATATGAATACTGATTAAGAGCAAAGGTTTCAGATTCAGGCAGATCTGGGTTTGAATACTTACTTCACTACACACTTGCTATGTGACATTAGGCAAGTCACTAAAACTTTCTAAGCTTCAGGAATCTCTCATGAAATGTGGTGTATGAATTTTTCCATGGATTTCAGAAAAGGATAATATTCTATTACATTTATAAAACATTAAGTAGGGTGGTTGGCATGTAAGAAGCCTTCACTGAATATTAGTTCCTGTGATGATGATGGTAATGATGATGATGTTGATGATGGAGAAAGAGGAGGAAATATTTATAATCCTGAAAATAAATGTACTTTTAAAAGAATTTGATTATAAATTGATAAATTATCATTGTATATGTTTATGCAGTACAAGTGATGTTATGATTTATGACTACAATGTGAGATAATTAAATCAAGCTAATTAACATATCTAGCACCTCAAATATTTATCACTTTTTGTGGTGAGAACACTGAAATTTACTCTTAGAAATTTTGAAATGTACAATACAGTGTTATTGACTATATTCACTATACTCTGCAATAGATCTCAGAAAAAATATATATATTTCTTCTGTCTGAGATTTTTTTTACCTGTTGACCAACATGTCCCCATTCCCTGCAATCTCCAACCTCTGGTTGCCACTCTTCTACTCTCTGCATCTATGAGTTTGTTTTTGATTTCACATGTAAGTGACAAACAAAAGCTAAGGGAGTTCATTTCCACTAGGCCTACTTTACAGGACTTGCTAAAAGGAATTATTTAAGCTGAAACAAAAGGCCACTAATCAATGACATAAAATATACAAAAGCACCAAACTCAACTGTATGAGCAATACAGAGCCATATAAAAAATGATCTAGGACTGTAATGGTGGCATAAATGTACTTTAAAGAGCAGAAGAGATAGGTGAGTGGTTCACAGCAGGTGGGATCTGGCCTCACTTAAGAGCCATATTATTTACTATTTATAACAAAGGGATAAGCAGTGATGAAAAGCATCTGCCATTTTATACACCATCCAATGGCTCTTCGGCTTTTTAGCCTTCTCTTCAAATGAACGAAGGCAATTTGGATATTGAGTACTGAGAAAATGGCACTCACAAATTCAGAGGTTAAACAAGTTGGCCCTTTATTTTGGAGATAAGAAAATGAAATCTCAAGAGGATGGAGTGACACCCTTAGCATCACTCAGAGGAACAGTGGTGAATTTAGGAATAATCCTAGTCCTCTGAATTCCCTCTGTTTTGGCCCTTATTCACTCCTTCAGGCATTCACTTTTGAAAGATAATTTACTCCAGCCACTGTTTTTGAAGCTAGGGAAACAATAAAGAATGAGGCAGTTGCAATGAGCACATATTCTCATTTGCTTACAGTCTAGTGGAGGACACAAACTATGAAAAAGAATTTTAAAAGTTAATGTAATTATTGAGAGTAAAATAAAACGCTATGCAGAAACTAAAGGGGATAAATTGACTGAAGGGTGTGTGTTGCTATTTTAGATGAAGGGTCAATAAAAAGCCTCTCTCAGGTGACATTTGAGCAGACACCAAAAGAAGCCGTCCAATGAGAGGATGGGGGAAGAAAATTTCCAGCAGAGAGAATGGCGAATGGGAATTTGGAAAATGGAATTAGAAAATACAAGTTGTTGTATTTGACTTAAACCAAGGAGGCCAGTATCACTGGACTATTGTGGATAAGGATGAGATCAATATGAAATATCACGGAGGCAAATCAAGTAAGTCTTGAAGGCCATGGTTAAAAGTTTACATTCAGGCTAAGGGATTGGGAAGCAACTGAAAAATTTCAAAAGGAAAATGACTTGATCAGATCTATGTTTTTAAAAAAATGATTCTGGCTTCTTTGTAAGGAATGAACTACTGATGACTTCATGGAAGTGGAGAGATCAATTAGATGATGAAGGCAGATGAGAAAATGGTGAGAAGTAATGCTAGTCAGCATGTTTTAGAGTTAGAACAGACAGGACTTCCTGATGGAGAAATCAGAGATGATCCCTAAGGGTTTTGTCTTAAGCAGCTATTACTCCGTTGATCTCATTTTTAAGCTCCTTTGTCTTCCCTCTGCTCTTTTCCTTCACGATTTTATTCAGACAATAGCTTCAGTTATCATCTATATGCCAACAATTCTCAAATGTGTATATGAAACCTAGTGTTTTCTCTTCTCACATTTAGTCTTATAAATCCAATCACCTTGTTTTAGTCTTTGGATTCATCAGAGAAATCTCAGGCTCAAAATGTTCAAACACGAGCTCATCATTTTTCCTAAAAAACTTGGCTCTCCTTCATTGCTGTCTAGCCCAGTGAAAGGGTCACCCATCCCTGCAACCAGACAATCCAGAAACCTAGGAGTCAGTGCTGATGATCCCTTTAGCTTTACCACCTCACATGCAATCTATAACCAAATCCAAATAATTTCCCTATGAACCACCACTTGAGTCCTTCCACTTCATTTCATTTTTACTAACAGAGGCTATGTCAATTGTTTCCCACTCTCACCTGGACTTCAGCACTAGCCTTTCAACTAACTACTCTCCTTATAGCCTCTGCTTCTGTCTTCTGATTCTCCAAATTGATGATTTTATTTTATAGCTCCAATCACAACTTTTAATTATAACGTGCTATGTGTATTGACTAGTGTGTCTCCTTCACTAGAATGTAGTATCCTGCGGGATAGAGTACTTGTTGACCTATTATATTGTTCTCACCTAGCACAGTGCTTGGCATACAACAGTCCCTGGATAAAGACTGAATGAAGAATCATTCTACTTGTTTGACACACTACTAAGAGCCATCCTTTCCGTACATTAAAAACACTGAGATATTTATTACACTACAACTATGAAATTATGACTAATTAAATAATGACTCATTAGTCATGAGAGGGTTAAAAAGATAAAAATCCTGTCCTCGTTAAACATTTAGGTTAGTAGAAGAGAATAAATGTAGTCACAAAACAATAATCCAATAGACAATTTTCTAAAGAAAGGAATAAATGAAGTATAATCAATTGTATTTGTTTATTTATCTATTAAGTCAGAGAGACAAATACTCAAAGATGCCTTTATAATACAGTCTATGAAAACCACTGGAGAAGCACTTCAACAAGTTTTTGGGAAAGTCAACAAGCTTTCTTGGAGGAGGTAACACCTAGGCCAAGACCTAAAGGATGAAGTTATATCCAGACAAATTTTGGCATATGGTAGCAGTATGACTAAGTTAGAAGTAGGAGCATTTGTAAAGTACCAGAGTGAGAAGAAAGCGTTAATTTCTGAAAACACTCCTAAAAATGAAAATATTTCATTATAGCTGGAGCATAATGTTTGAAGAACTGAACAAAGATAAAAAAATTGATTCAAGGGACAGATCATGATGATCCTAGTTGGTTGGATGCCGTGACTTCACCTTGAAGGTCTTGAAAAAGAAATGAAATTTTTGAAAGAAAATGTAGTATAAGTTTGAGAGATCATTTCAGCAGACATTAGAAACAATAAATTAGAAAAAAAGCAAGACTGGAAGGAGGAAAATAACTTTATTCATTTATTACTAATTCTTATTTAACTTACTAAATTTATTTAGCAAATACTTATTAATTACAACCTAATAGTAGGCATTGACCTCCAAGCTGGGGAATACAAGGGTGAAAAATATGTATGTAATACCTACCCTCACACAGACACATAGAACAGAAAACCGTTCAAGTAATCCACCTAAAGGTCAAGGGAGAGACAAATGGGACCCTTTTGTAGATTTGTCTGTTTATACCCTTTACTTGATATTTTTGAAGAGTTTATCTTTATTGGTGTTGATGGATTCAAGTCACGGTAGAATCTAACATCTGTAGTTGAATTTTGAGGGTCTGTCATTGAAACAAAATGGAATGCAGGTCTTTCCTAGAGGCAAGCAAGAAAATTCGGAGAAATGAAAAAGAACAAGCTGAGGCCTCTACCAAGCAGGACTAGACATGCTAAACAAGCCCATTGAAAAACTAATACTCAAAACCATCAAGGTCAAGGGAGCACAAATCATTCAAGTCTTGAAAGATGTGAGAGTGGAATGAGTTGATATTGGTAACAGTAGCGACAAGCAAGGCTTCCTGGAAAAAGCGACATTGAGTCTAAGATGAATGCAGGAGGAAGATAGGTGACCCAAAAATTTGGGCCTGTGATGCAGGAAGACTAAGTCAGAAGCAGCAGTGTTTGCAAAGTACTGGAATCAGGAGGGAGCACTGGTTTCTAAAAATGTTTCTGAAAATGAAACTAACTCAGTATGTACATAGAAGAGTACCTATCCATTCCATGTGTTTGGGAGGGAGGGAAAGAAAAAAAAAAGAGATAGGAAGGATGGAGGGAAGGAAAGAACGACAGAAAATTTAAGATAGTGTGAATACCTGAATACCTAAAGGTTCAATTTTCAGGAAAGCTACTTGATGAAGTGGGGAAAAGAGGAATTTAATGTGGATCAGACACAAATTCCAATCTTAAGTGTCTTTTTTTTTTTTGCCAAACTATGGCAGTTAGTACTGTTATTAAGTACTGCCTATGTCCAGACACTATTCTAAAGACTTTATTGTTATTTCATTTTGTTCTCACAAAAGCCCTATGAAATGGATATTATTATCAATCCAGTTTTTCACATGGGGAAACTGAGGCCCAGAGAATTTACTTATCTTGCCCAGAGCTATGTGGCTAGCAAATGGTGGAATCAGAATTCAGGCCCAGGTGGTCCAACTCTAGCATCCTTAATGACAACTTGAGGCAGCTTCCATGTGACCCACATGGGAAGAGGGGTGGTGGGATGTAGTCTGTTTTCTTACCTTGATTTAACAAGGAGTGAAAATTCTAAAAACTTTACAGACTAGTTTCTTTAAGTTTGAGTTCTCGTTATTGATAACATGAAAATAAAAAGTCACTTTAGGTTTTTGTGAGGTTTAAGCACATTATCCAGCAGGTAGTAGAGGCTGAATACATGTCCTGTGCCTTTTCCTCCCCTTTCCTTCTGACTTCTCACATTTTATTGTTTGGAGTGTCCTACGATTGACTCAGGAAATAGTGCTTGAATATCTACCAGATACAAAGCACTGATCTGGCACAATGGGGATTAGGAGAAGTAAGAAGTAATATTTAGGTTGATCCTCAACTCTAAGAATTTTTTTGGTGTTTTGTGTCTTTTCAATTCAGTAATAATTATATCTTATGATGACTTAAGATGTGCTACTTAGCCCACTGGTTTTAGATCTAATAAAAGGCTGTCTTGAAGGCCCACTTCTGCGTTTGTAACCCCAACCAAAGCGTGGGGAGAAGTATATCTGAAGATATCTATTGCATACATATGCACGAGCAGAGAAAATTGCACTCCGAAAAATCTCAGTGCTGTTTGTTAGGAAAGGCAACATTTTCATTTTAAGTACTCAGTAGCAATTGATGAAGGTCCCCCCCGACCTCCACTAAGAGTGAGTTTTCATTTTTTGTTATTTCCACAGCTGTACGTATTTTATTCCAGCAGATGCAAATAGCACTTCCAAATTGGTCACAATTAAAGTGAGTGCGAAGTGTGAGGGAGGGTGAAGGCTTGAAAACAACAATCGCTCCCTAGAGCTGAGCGATCACAAAGCTCATCTTGTTCTGACACCTCGCTCACTCCAATCATAAGCCTTTTCCACACATGTGGCCTGCTCAGCTGTGTGCACAAAATAAAGCCAGGCAGGATGGACCTGAAGACAGTATGTGGAGAAAGTGAACTGAGGGACTCTAAACACATATTCCCTGCATCTTTTCTTACACAGGGTTTTATGGTGGCTTGAGACACTGGTGAGAAGCAGGGGGTTGTGTAGTAAGGGTAGATGGCAAGGCCAAGTGCCTGCTCCCATACTCAGCTCCCTAAAGGCCAAACCAGAAATGCCAGTCTCTTTTATTACTTGTCAGCTCCTCACTTCATGCAGTGAACTGAGGATCAAGACACAAAACAAAACAAAAAACTATCTGTGCCTTCAGAAGTTTAAGAGTCAGAGAGAGGAGTAAGAGAGTATAGTGGTTTGATATTGGGCCTGTCTACCCAGATGCCTGGGACACCACTTGCCACCTGGGTAACCCCAGGCGAGTTCCCTCTTATTTCTAAGCTTGTTTTCTGCTTTATAAAGTGAGTAAAATCAATAGTAACCACCTCATAGGAGACAGAAATAACACAGGTAAAATGCTGGCATATAATTAGCAACTAATTGGTATTACACCTAAGCCATTTTTAATATTGACATTAAATTATATGAAATATGAACTGATGATTGTAATGCAGAGTATTTAATACAATAACAGAAGTACATACATGTTCCATTCATGGTTGCCTGAGGGTTTCAGGAGAGCTTTGGAGGACACATATGCTTTGGATCTCAAAGAAGGTGTAGGAGTCAGCCAGAGGATGTGGTTAGGTTGGTGGGAGGATGGGAAGAGATGGACCCAAAAGACAAATTTTGTGAAGTCATGAAGTGTGAAAAGTCACAACATATCGAGGGGACTGTCAGTTGTTTGATATGGCTTTAAACATGGGATCTAAAATGGCAAAGCGTGACAAGAGATGAGGCTGCAAGGGTGGGCAAGAGTCAGATCAGAAGGGTCCTGCCTGCATGTATTTCTATTTTATCCTGTACACTATGGGCAGTCTGCAGGTTGAAACTGACAAATAGTACAATACTGCATGTTTATATGGATTCTACACTTGAGACAATTCACTAATCTGTTCTTTCTTTGTTCTGCTTCTCAAGATAACATCAACAGATATTTTAATCTCCTTTTTTCATTGGTAAAAACATTTATGAAAAAAAAAACCAGGGCTGGGTGTGGTGGCTCACACCTGTAATCCCAGCACTTTGGGAGGCCGAGGCAGGTGGATCACGAAGTTAGGAGTTCAAGACCAGCCTGGCCAATATGGTGAAACCCCGTCTCTACTAAAAAAAAATACAAAATACAATATAAAAAAATTAGCCAGGTGTGGTGGCGGGTGCCTGTAATCCCAGCCACATGGGAGGCTGAGGCAAGGTGAATCACTTGAACCTGGGAGGTGGAGGTTGCGGTGAACTGAGATCGCGCCATTACACTTCAGCCTGGGCAACAGTGTGAAATTCTGTATCAAAAAAAAAAAAAAAAAAAAAAGAGTTTAGAGCTTTGAATGCATCTGCCTCTTAAAGATCAGGGTATACTTCCCCAGACTTGTCCCTTTTCCTGAATCTCTGTTTGAGTTTCCCACAGCCTCAGCTACATAGAGCAAAAGCCTTCCTAATGCCTTGCTTTTTCTCTTCCTTTGCTCCAAAGTTGGTCACTAAAGTACACACCTCCACAATCACCACTTCCAATTCAGCCTCTGATGTGTTATTTGTCTATAAGATGTTATTATTTTATAAGATAACATTATTGTCCTACTCAGCTTTTCTTCACAATAGAATTCTTATTAAAAATGCAGAAAAAAGGAAAGAAGGGAAGATAATCAGCATTAGGTAAACATCTCTAACAAATGTTGTAGAAAACTCTACCAATGGGTAGTAAAATTCTTGGGTGAAAGTTTGAATAGAAATAGAATTTTCATCATCCCAAAGTATCTCTCCATGATAGTTACCAACTTAAAAAATAACAACAAAACAAAACAAAAACAAACAGTAACTTTATAGTGGAGAAATTCAGAAGACACCAATTTAACCAGCTGATCAAGGTTAATATCACCATTAGTAAAATATAACAATATCATGAACCTCCTAATATGAAAAGGGCACACCATTATTTTTGATAAAAAAAAGTATAGCTTCACTTCAGAAAACATCAGACAAATCCAACTGAGAATCATTCCATAAAATACCAATATTTTTCAAAAGTGTCGAGATTATAAAAGATGATGAAAGACTAAGAATCTATTATAGATTGGAAGAAATAAAGGCAAAATAACAACTAAATACAATGTGAGACATTTAATAAAATCCTGTAAGAGAAAAAGGCCTTACTGGAAAAACTAGTGAATTTTGGAAACGGTCTGTATTTTAATAATATCGTATCAATGATAGTATCTCATTCTTGATTATTGTACTATGGTTACATAAGATATTAACATCAGAATAAATAGAGAAAAACAAGAACATGCTGTAATAGTTCTGTAACTTTTGTGTAGGTCCAAAATTAGTCCGAGATATTTTTTAAAAAAAGAGTGAAATACTCAACATTGTCTAATAATCTTATGACAGAGAACATAAATCTGAGCTTTGTATCAGGATCTAGTTCTTTCCTACCTCTTTGGGTTTGTTGTATACCTCTTCTCCACCTTTCCCTATTGCGCAGACTTACCATAGTTTCCAGGACACAACTCTTGCTTTCATATGTGTATGTTTATACAAGGTGTACTCTCTGTGTTGAATGCCCCAGTACATAACCTCTAATCAGATGCTAATATCCAGCCACATATCACATTTTCTTTCTTTTTTCTTTTTTTTTTCTTTTTTTTTTTTTTTTTTTTTTTTTTGATGGAGTCTTGCTCTGTCGCCCAGGCTGGAGTGCAGTGGAGTAATCTCGGCTCACTGCAAGCTCCGCCTCCCGGGTTCATGCCATTCTCCTGCCTCAGCCTCCTAAGTAGCTGGGACTACAGGCTGCCACAACGACACCTGGTTAATTTTTTGTATTTTTAGTAGAGACGGGGTTTCACCGTGTTAGCCAGGATGGTCTCGATCCTCTGACCTCGTACGTAATCTGCCCGCCTCAGCCTCCTAAAGTGCTGGGATTACAGGCGTGAGCCGCTGTGTCCGGCCCACATATCACATTTTCTAAAAATTCCCTCTTACTGGCCCTGGGGTTGGCCATTTCCTTTGGTATATCAATGCCTTCCAACATTTTCTTCATTGTGACACACATGCAAAGTGTTATTACAATACATGGTGCAAATAGAATGCAGCTTCTAGCTAGGGGTGACCAGCTGCAGCTCTGGCCATTCCAAGTACTAGCTACACACCTCAAGAGCTAAGAGGATTAGTAGCTGAGCCCACTGTCATGCAGCTGCATCCTACATGTGTACCGTACCCCATCATCTAGGAAGCTCTGCACTATGCCTCCATTGTTTTCACTAGTTCCCTCTAATGTTATACTTCTTACTCTGCACTGTAATTATCTGTCTTTAGATGTATCCCTGCCAATAAACTAGGAGTTCCTTGTGGACACTGGCCATATTCCAATCATCTCTGGATCCCCAGTGATAGAAAAATGCCTGATTGCTAGAAGGATTTTCCCTGAAAATAGGTTGACTAAGTGGATGACTGCATTGGTGAAAAAAATCCCACAAACTTATCTCATTTGTAATAATCATGACCTCCACTCCTGAGTGTTAATCAAAATAAACATGAGACCCTTAAAAATTCCAGGGACACAGATTTTGGGCACAGGACAGTCCAGAAGTAGGCAGACATTATAGGTACATACCTTCTTTTAAAAAATATTAGTTTAGTTTTGTTTTTCCTAGGGGATTATGGTAGTAGGTGATAGGGAGTTGGATAATTGGTATTTCCTACGTTATGACCAATTCCTGTTAAGGGAATAATTACAGCAGGCTCATTGGAAATCCCAGCCTAGGACTTTGTCTGTTTTGATTGTTTCTGAGCAAACAGACCAATGTACATAAACAATCTTTGCTCCTAAATTTAAAAAAAAAAAAATGTTTTACCTGTCTCCCTCTCTCCTCTGAAGAATAGCAACAAAACTGAATGAACCTTGGAGGTTTACTTGTACCTTTCTTGATTGAGACTAGATGGCATCATCGACAAAACCTGAATCTGGATCTCAATTCTGCCCCTGGTATAGCTTTGGGTAAATAATTCAACCTCTTTCATTTATAAAAAGATTATGAGTCTTTTCATACTATTAATTTAATATTGTGAGGTTTTAGAGACAATGTGTTTTAGAGACAACATGATTAGCACAGTGCTTGCACATAGTAACTTCTCAATAAATGACAACCTTCTCCATTTCCCAAAGACTCACAATCTTTTCAGCCATCAGAATTTAATGTTCTCACTGCCTTCCTGCCAAAGGTCACACCCATTAGTCTTGTTATCTGACTTAAATGCCAGGTGGGAAGGTATATACACAGGGCACCGGCAGGAGATAAACCCATACCAGTTATTGGAGCAGAGAATACTCAATATTAAAAAATCATTAACTAGGTATACAGTTGTTAATGAGATAACTGAAAAGGTAAGAGGAAAACATTAAGGTATTATGGAGGTAGCAACTACAGAAAGGGAAGGGAAGAATTTGAAATTATGAATCCTTAAAAGCTCAGAGGAGAGGCAGTATGGAGCTGAAACTCAGACCTTTGAGGAAGGAGCACTGCTCTGCTGGGTTCGAGGTCTCTGGGCTCAAAGGAAGACTCCAGTGGGGTGAAACCCTGAGCCATGAGGAAAACGTTCTGGTTGGCTAATGCTGGGATATATGAAGGGGGCAGGACAAAGCTGTTTCTGCAAGTGTTGAAAAAACTGCAGACTGGATTTAGCTGCTCTTCTAGGGGGAAACTGCTGCTGACAATGTGAAAAGTAGCTAGAGTTTGTGCGGCAGCAGAGAGGAGGCATGAGGAAGCAAATCTCTCCCAGTCTCTTTTCTTCCCCTCTAATATTTTGGTCTCCTTCTAACACCCCCAGCTGTCACATCTTAACAGGGAGCTGCTGGCAAAAAATAAAAAATAAAATTGTTTGAAGAGAGCTGGTCTCGGCATCACCAGTTAGAGTACACAATGGTCAGATTAGAGTTGAGAAACAGTGACTTAAAGTTGCCACTGAAGAACCGACTCATAACCAAGCACCACTTGTTCCCCAATAAAATAAAATAATAAAATAAAATAAAATAAACTTGGAAATAAAAAAATAAAATTTGCAGAGAAGACTGTGGGAAATGGAGCATATGCAATAGGATCACTCTTTGTCTGCTTCAGATGTCCTTGCAATGAGTCTAATCCCATCTTTTCTAAACGGAATCTTCTACTCCTTCCAACACATGTTATAGAGATGCATCCAAGATCCCTTTGCTGAGAAGCCTAGCATAAAATCAGGAAAAATGCTCAATTTCTAAGACTTACTCTCTAGTGTGTTTCCATCCACGGCAGTCTTGACATTAAGCACTTTTTCTTCCTTAGGTTTCTTCCATGGGGCAGCACCAATCTGGGGCTTGTATTAAGTAGCAGGGGGACAGTAAAGGAACATTGAGGGCAAGCTTGATGTACTCTGTTGTAGGAAACAGGTCACCTATCTTGCAGATAGACTCAGTTTGAATTTCTTTTACTTTTTGTGTCTCACTGGAGGGGACCTTGTTTTTGCTATTGTTGCTGTGAAAATGATAGTAGTGGTATTGCAAGGAGAGATAATCCAACCATTACACAGCACACTATAAAAGATAAGGCATATCTTTATATATTATTATAATTGATCTTCAAATAATGTGACCTGGTTATCATGATTATGACCACTATACAGATAAGGAAACAGAGGTTCATGAAGTTTATGTGACCTGAACATGATTACAGTGTAGGGTCTGAGTGGGAATGTACAGTGACGTGGTAAAAGGAGCAAGAATTTGGGGTTAAACCTCCTATGTGTGAATCACAGTTCTGCAACTTGCAACTTGAGAGAACTACATCATAATACAGTCATCCAACACTCCATTTTTGATCCCAAAAGAAGGCAATAATATGTTCCTCATAATATTGTTGTAAATTTCAGGTGATACAAAACACTAAAATGGCTAGTACAGTACCTATGCAAAGGGTATAGCTGTTATTTTGTTTCTTATTGTATTTATTAGTGTTATTGTTATGATGAGGACAAGGAAGATGATGGTAGCGTACTTAACTAAAATTTTTACCCAGGATTTTGGTCCTGGGTAAAAATGTGTCTGCTACTCTCCATTATACTCTCCATAAACGTGTTGCTTTCCCCTCCCTGTCCCAGCATGTGTCACCCTCAAGTATCAGGCAAAAGAGTTTAAGTTTTTTACTTCTATCTACTTTTAAATAGAATCAGTCTACACATTCATACCAGTTATAACATTTGGATTGGCAACACCATCAAGTAGTCATATTTTAGTGTTTATATGTATAAAGAGAGACCGAAGGCTAACTAGCTACACTGTATAAGAAATGAAACCAAAACAGCTTTCCATTTCTGCAAAGTAAGCAGAGAAAACTCCATTAGCAACAACATACAGTCACACAGGCAGGCCTAGCACATCAGTGTTGTAATTGAAAGAGCTGATACAGAAACCAAAAAGGTGAGTTATGTTATTCACTTAGTGACTGGTAAGCACATAACAAGTGTCACCTGGGAGGTTCAGAAACTGTGTGTGTAATTCTTTAGAGCTACAACAAGGAACTTCGCTTCAGTAGTAAGAAAAGGATGAATGAGTACAGCTCAAGCAAAATCTCTTTTCTTTTAGGAGTTTAACTGATTAGGCATTGCTAAGACCTTTGTCTCAAACAAAATTAGGAGTCAAGCCAGTGATACTACAGACAGCTCACACTAGTAATTACCTCTCTTACAGTAATGACTTTTTAGTGCCAAAACTTTACATTTCCATTTGCTCATTAGAGATTTCAAAATGCTTTGTGTGTTTTTTCACTTTTTTAGAAGTTGAAAAGGCACTGAGCTGTTCAAATGTTTTTATAATCAATGCTACTATTCATGAAATATTTAATCAGCACCTATAATAGTAATACCGTCTGCCATCTGTTGAACATCAGGACACATCTGATATATGGGGGCACTCGGTACATATTCTGTCTAATCCTTAGAACAACCCTTCTAGGTAATATGGTCATTATATTGTATATAAAGAAACTAAGCCTTGGTGTTAATGAACTCAACTACAGTTACACAACTACTAAATAGCAGAAGTTAAATTTACCTCTCTAATTCTAAACACTGCATCCTTTATATGCTGTCGTATTATCTATAGGCATATAATTCCCCCAGTTGAGTAAATGAAAATACAATAATATATTTATGTCATGAGAAAACATTTTTAAGTTACATTCATTTTTGCTCAAAAATGAGCTTTCTGTCCATTTAAATTTTTTTATTATTTATTTATTTATTTATTTTGAGATGGAGTCTCGTTCTGTCACCCAGGCTGGAGTACAGTGGCACAATCTTGGCTCACTGCAACCTCCACCTCCCACGTTCAAGCGATTCTTCTGCCTCAGCCTCCCGAGTAGCTGGGGCTATAGACATGCACCACCACACCTGGCTAATTTTTGTATTTTTAGTAGAGACGGAGTTTCACCATATTGGCCAGGCTGGTCTCAAACTCCTGACCTCATGATCCACTCACCTGGGCCTCCCAACGTGCTGGGATTACAGGTGTGAGCCACAGTGCCCCTGGCCCTGTCCATTTAAATCTTTACTCCACCACTTATAAACTCTGGGACCTTGGATACTGCGTTAGGCCTTTTGCACTGCTATAAATAAATAAATACTTGAGACTGGGTCATTTAGAAAGAAAAGAAGTTTAATTGGCTCACAGTTATGCAGGCTGTACAGGCATGTCACTGGCATCTCCTCAGCTTCTGGGGAGGCCTCTGAGAATTTTTATTCATGGCAGAAGGCAAAGTGGGAATAGGCATCTTACATGGCAGAGCGGGAACAAGAAAAGGAAAGAGAGAGAGAATGGTAGGGAGGTTCCACATACTTTTAAAGGCCCAGATCTCGTGTGAACTCAGCAAGAGCTCACTTATCACCAGTGTGATGGCTCAAGCCATTCATGAGAGACCCATGCCCATGATCCAAACACCTCCCACCAGGCCCCACCTCCAACGTTGGGAATTACATTTCAACATGGGATTTGGGAACAAACAACCAAACTATATCAGGTACTTTTTCTAAAAACTTAATCATAGTGTGGGTGCTGCAGTGGCTGTCCTGGAGGACTGAGCATTAAATGGGAGATCTTCAGTTACCCTTATTGTGCATCCATTCATTCATTCATGCATCCCCTTCACAAGCTTTCTTTCAGTGAAGGCCTGTGAGCCTGTTGCTGTCCTAAGCACATACTGAGTGACTGATAATTGCTCTTCCCTTTTGTACATCTATCCTAGAAAGTTGTCATAGATTGAGAAGAATTTCATCATGTCATAAAGACTGTAGTACTCCGTTTGTTGATGAATTGCCGAAGTCTAAGATCAAAGAAAAACAGATTTTGATGAGCAAACTTGTGTAAAGGGGAGAGTAGTTCTTTGAAAGTTCTCCGCTTCAAAAAGAAAGAGGTCTATTAACTTTAGGTTGTATGTATGTATGTTTAATACTATTAAAAAAAAAAACCTGTCAGAGAAAGGACTTGGGAATTGTTCAACCAAATTTTGCAACAATAATTTGTGGTTAAAATCAGCCACAAATTAAAGCATTTTGAACATCTTTACTCATTTAATTTTGACATAAAAATGTTCTGCCTAATGAATATTCAGCCATCACGTCTAGCATGGCATTGCATTTTTAGTATTTAATGTCACATTAGTCTTTAGTTTATAAATACGCTACAGCATTTCTCATTCTGACCATTTGAAAACTACACATGAGAAATCTGAGCCCATGGCATGCTGATTATGGTGCAAAACCTTCTCTCATACTGAAATCCTCGAAAATCAAAGATCTAAAAGGAATGGATTTTGAGGAATAGGAATCTTTATTCATAACATCATAAGGCTAGAAAGAACCATCTGTTCTAAAACCTCTATTTCATAAATGAGAAATCTGAGGCCTGAAAGGCAAAGCAACTTCTCCAGTCCCACAGCTAGATTTATATTAGTAGGAGGGGAGATTTCAGGTACTCCAACAAAGCTATAATTGGAAATTTTGGTAACAACGGTGAACAGTTGGAAATATAGAATCATGCTAGTCGGGGCGGAGCATAGGAGGGAAGGCAAAAGAAAAGGAACAGGGTGTGGTCCTGAATCTTCATCCATCTCCTTTGCGGCCAAAAGCCTCTGTGCAGAGTGAGGAATGGGATGACTCATGCTCTGATGCTTAGGTTCTATCCATTACACAACACTGCCTCTCCATATGGGAAAACTCTGGGTCCCATTTGCTTTATTTTTGGTCAAAATGTAGTCTCCCACTTGACCCTGTGTGACAACTTTTTCAACGTCCTTGGAAAGTCACAATGGCAAAATGCGCTACTTTTTATATTTCTCAAGATCTAAGAGATTAAGACTTGCTTTCATAGAATGTTTGTGTCTCTCCCTCCCCCTAAATTCATATGTTAAAACTATAATTGACCCTCGAACAACACGGGTTTGAACTATGTGAGTCCATTCACACACAGATCTTTTCAATAAATGTATGGGAAAAATTTTTGGAGATTTGTGACAATTTGAAAACATTTGGCCTGGCAAGGTGGCTCATGCCTGTAATCCCAGCACTTTGGGAGGCTCAGGCGGGTGGATCACAAGGTCAGGAGAACAAGACCATCCTGGCTAACACAGTGAAACCCCATCTCTACTAGAAATACAAAAAATTAGCCGGGCGTGGTGGCGGTTGTCTGTAGTCCCAGCTACTCAGGAGACTGAGGCAGGAGAATGGTGTGAACCCAGGAGGCGGAGCTTGCAGTGAGCCAAGATCTTGCCACTGCACTCCAGCCTGGGTGGCAGAGCAAGACTCTGTCTCAGAAAAAAAAAAAAAAAATTCACAGATTAACTGGAGAGTCTAGAAATATCACAAAAATAAAAAAAGATGTGTCATGAGTGCATAAATTATACATAGATACTATTATATCAGTTACTACTATAATATATATACAAATCTATTATCAAAAGTTAAAATGTATCAAAACTTATGCACACAAACACAGACTGTAGATAATGTCATTGGCAATCAGGAGCGTAAACAAAGATTCAGTATCAAATCATAACTACATAAATTGTAGTACATTCTGTACCACTGTAATAATTTTGGAGCTACCTCCTGTTGGTATTGTGATGAGTTCACATGTTCCAAGTATGAGCTAAAAATGCCATGAGAGGCTTTTCACCTCTGTAGAAGCAGTTTCTCTCTTTAGTAAATTGTGTATTACAGTAAAAGGTGATCTGTTAAGGTTTTCTGTATTTTCATTGTGTTTGGTGCAATACTGTAAGTCTTGAAGAACACCATGGGACCTATACAAAATGTTGTTAATAATGCTAGAAGTGCTCCCAAGAAGCAGAGTGAAGTTATAACATTATAAAAAAAAAGTTAAATAGCTCCATGTGTACTGGAGACTGAGATCTGCAGCTGTGGTCACCCACTATTTCAAGATAAATGAATCAAGCATAAGGAAAATTGTGAAAAAAAAGAAGAAAGAAAAAGAATGAAAGAAAGAAAAAAAAGAAGGAAAGAAATTCATGAAGCTGTCACTGCAGCTACATCAGGAGGTAACAGAAACCTTGCACTTTCTGTGAAATAACTTTTTATTTCATGTTGAAAATGCAGCTTTTATATAGGTGCAAGATTGCTCTAAGAAAGGCATACCTGTAGACTCTAATATGATTTGAGAAAAAGTGAAGTCATTTTATGACAACTTCAAGCAAAAGGAAGATGAGAATCTAAAGATAGAGAATTTAATGCCAGCAAAGGATGGTTTGAAAATTTCGGAAAGAGATTTGCCTTTAAAAAAATGTCAAGGCAAACAGGAGAAGCAGCTTCTGCTGATCAAGAGGCAGCAGAAGAGTTTTCGGACACCATGAAGAAAATCATTGAGGAGAAAAGATATCTGCCTGAACAGGGTTTTAATGTGGACAAAAGTGCCCATCTGGAAAAAAAAAAATGCCACAAATGACATTTATTAGGAAAGAAAAAATGCAAGCACCAGGATTTAAAGCAGGAATGGATTGGCTAACACTATTCTTTTGTGCCAATGCAGCTGGGTTCATGATCAGGACTTCTCTTATTTATAAAGCTGCTACCCCTGAGCCTTTCAGGGAAAAGATAAACACTAACTTGAAGACTTTTTGTTGTCCAACAAGGCCTGAACAATAAGAATCCTTTTTTCTGAATTGGTTGCATGGGCACTTTGTCCCTGAAGTAAGGAAGTACCTTGCCAGTAAGATACTTTGCCAGTAAAGTTCTTTTAATACTGGACATGCCCCTGACCACCAAGAACCTCATGAGTTCGACAGCAAAGGCATGAAAGTGGTCTACTTGCCCCCAAACACAAGGTCTTCAATTTAGCCTCTAGATCTAGGGATCACGAGAACCTTTAAGGCTCATGATACAAGTTACTGTGTTAAAAGGATTGCCAACACCAGAGAAGAGAATGCTGATAGAAAGCACATCATGAAAGTCTGGAAGAATTACACCATTCAAGATGCCATCATTGTTATTAGAGAAACAGTGAGCCATGAGAGCCATCAAGCCCCAAACAATAAATTTCTGCTGGAGAAAACTGTGTCCAGATGTTGTGCATGACTTCACAGGATTTATGACCAAGCCAACCGAGAAAATCATGACAGACACTGTGGATATGGCAAAAAGTTGGAAAGTAAAGAGTTTCAAGATATGGATCTTGGAGAAATTCAAGAGCTAATAGATACCACACAAGAGAAATTAATAGAAGACAACTTGATGGAGATGAGTGCTTCTGAACCAGTGTCAGACTGTGAGGAAGAAGACACAGAAGAAGCAGTGCCAGAAAGCAAATTGATAATAGACAATCTGGCAGAAGCAATCCAATTATTTAACACTGCTTTTTTCCTTATTTTATGTCATGGATCATTCTATGAGACTGGCACTAAAACTAAAGCAAATCATGAATAAAGAATTGGTACCACATACAAACACTTTTCAAGAAATGAAAAAGCAACAACAAAAAAAAAAACAAAATAATATGTATTTCTGTAAAAATTACATGGAGTGTGCCTGCCTTTTCTGCCTCTCCTGCCTCCCCTTCCACCTCCTCCACCTCCTAGGCCTCTGCCATTTCTGAGACAGCAAGAACAGTCCCTTCTCTTTTTCCTCCTCCTCAGCCTTACTCAACGTGAAGATGCAGATAAGACTCTTAGGATGATCCACTTCCATTTAATGAATAGTAAATATATTTTCTCTTCCTTATGATCTTCTTAATAACCATTATTTTTCTCTAGCTTGCTTTATGGTAATCTGGAGAAAAATATATATATAATAAAATGATATATATGTATAATATATATGATCCACGTCCATTTAATGAATAGTAAATATAGTTTCCTTATGATATTCATAATTTTATTTTTCTCTAGCTTACTTTATGGTAAGCTGGAGAAAGATATGATTATATCATACAAAATGATATATATACAATATATGTAATGATATATATATGGTATATATACATATCATAAAAAATGTGTGTCAATTGACTCTTTATGTTATCAGTAAGTCTTCCAGTCTGCAGTAGGCCATTAGTAGTTAAGATGTTGGGGAATTAAAAGTTACACAACTGTGTGGGAGGTTGGCACTCCTAACCTGCACATCATTCGAGGGTCAACTGTAATGAGCCACGTGATAGTTTTAGCAGGTGAGGCCTTTTGGGAGATAATTAAAGCCTGAGGGCAGAGACTTCATAAATTGGATAAGTATCCTTTTAAATAGGCCCAGTGGAGCTCATCCACCCCTTCCACCATGTGAGGACCCAGCAAGATGACACTATTTATGAGGAATGGGTCCTCACCAGACACAAAATTTTCCATCACCTATAACTTGGATGTTCCAGTCCCAGAGCTGTAAGAAATAAATGTTGTTTATAAGCCCCTAAAGTTATGGTATTTTGTTATAGCAGCTCTAATAGACTAAGATACAGCTTAGTAGCCACTTCTTGCTAGTGCTCTTTTTACATTTTTGGCAAGCAATGACACATGGGCACTGCTACTTGCACACTCACTATTTGGTCTTCAGGCCAGGCTAGAACATTGGCCTGAAATCCCTTCCTGTCTCGTAGAAGTGGTTTGGACTACAGCAAAACTTAAGCATATGGAAATAACTGATGTTACCCAGAAGACAGCTGGGAGATATTAGCATATTAAAGATCTGGGTATAATTTGTTCAGCTACTACCAACCCCAAGGCTGATGAAAGCCCAAATCCCTCTCACAACTTTTATTCCCCTGTAGGAGCTTTTATCTTGATGCTTCTCTTTATCACAGTCATTTTTGTCCATTGAAGTTGTCTGCATTTTGCTTGGTATCAATCTGTGCAGAGATTAGAGCATTCACTGATTTCTCTAAGGACTCTACACATGCCAAACACCTTGTGGGTTTAATTGTCTCCAAAGTTCTGAGAAGTCATGGGGCGGAGTCACGTTCCTGCACCTAAAGCTTACTGTGTATTGCTGCTTCCTCCATTCTCTTTTCTGTTCTTTCCTACCTTTCCTACCTGCTTTGCCCTCAGGCACCAATTTCCTTTCTCCCTGTAGCATGCAGAACAGTTCTGCTCTCCTCTGTTCTTTACTTGGAAACCCAAATGTATCAAAAGCCTCAAAGGTCTCAACTGAAGGAAAAAGTAAGTCATCCAGTCAATATAATGGACTCTTCCTAAACGAGGTAGTAACATTAAGTGACAGCTTGGTCATCGATATGAACAACAAAGAAAGCCTTGCTCTCCCCTCGATGCTTCCACCTTTAAGCAGGTAATTTTCGTTTGATAAGGAGTAGCCAACCCAGGAAAAAGTATTTCTCTTTGGTTAGCCTCTGGGCAGAAAGAATGAACCATGGGCTATTCAATATTGCTTCTATCTCCTAAAAGTCAAGGGTAAGAATACTGAGACCAAAGGGAGAAAATGACCATTCATGCTTCACTCTTACTGGACAAGAAAGTAGACAATCAGGAGGCAGTGGGCTCCAGAAAATTTCATCCTTGTAAATATTACTCATGATGCCATGCTATGAGGCATATATAATGACTTTGCAGTCTTCAGGGTATCCAAAACTAAATGACAAAAATTTATTTCTTTGCCATTCTCTTTAGCCTGAAGTATCTCACTAAGGACATCTATAAAAGTCTCCTCACATTGATGGGACTGGGTGTACTGCACCCCCTATATTGGTTCAGTTTTATGACTGCTTACAGACTCCCCTTACAACTCAATGCCTTTCTTAAAAGCCACATTAGACCCAGTCTGATTAACCAGTTTCTCTTTTTTCCTTGTAACATTTATTTTACTTGGGTACACTCAGCCATTCTGATCTTTTTTTCTTCCAATGGTACAAGAAGAAAGTAAGCGGACCCATTAGAAGAGACAACTGACTCCCTATCTGTTCTTACTACTGGCTCTGCATACAACGTGTGACCCTTTTTTGGTCTTTAAAGAGCTTGACATTTGCCATCACTGGCAGGGATACCACTTTCACAGTGACTGATGGTGCCTTCCTCAAAGGAGAGTAAAGAGGGGAGGAGGCATGGCCAACAGAATCCATCTGTTAAATATGGTGTCAGGTGCTCACCTTCAGAAGGGGCAGCTGATTAGCATCAAGGATGTTTAGCAATAAGGAATGAGTAGATGAGCAATACCTATAAACTCTTAAGCAACAAAGAAGTCCTGACTGCATGGAGCTCCATCTCAGGTCAAGAGCTTAGAGGTATGTATAAAATTTTGCTTCAGAATCCCCTTCTGCCCTTGGCCTGGCTGAGAATGTCATCTTTCACAACGTCAAGGTTTGGTTTGGTGCCTATGGCTCTACATTAGGTACCTCTTGATATTATAAAAAGGAATAGCAAATTAATATGTGAGAATAAAGCTTTAAATGCACAAATTAAAACACAATTCATATTCAAAGGTATGGGGTATGAAACAGCATAGTGTGCTTTGGGGAAGAACAACTTCATTAGAGTTCAGGAGAGGACACAGAGGAGGGGTAGAGTGTCAATAGATGAAAAAAGAATCAGATCATGAGGTCCTTGTAGATTCATGTTAAGAAGCTTGAACAGCATCAAAGATCAATGGGAATTAATAAAGGTTTTTAATCAAGGGATTTACATGATCAGATCTTCATTTTACACAGACTAATCAGGAGCTATGTAGAGAATGAATTGCAATGTAGCAGGGAGAAGGGAATTTGGAGACCAGATTAGAAAGCCTTTGGAGTAATCCAGGCAAGAGACAATAAAGAGACTAAAGGTAAGGTAGTGAGGCTGGCAAGTAGAAGACTAATTACCTTTAAGGTGTTAAGTGAATGGGGTTTGATAATGTATAGCTTCGAAGAGAAGAAAAGAAAGACGGAGGCTGACATGGAGACTTCAGGCTTGGGAAATGTATCAGCTTGTATCAAATAGCAAAGGGCTGGACTATGAGCAGCAGGACCTTAGCTGAGCAAGAGGCCCCTTGTGCATGCACCACACATGAGCTGCTAGTCTTGGGAAGCCTCAGGAGTCAGAGTGGAAGGTCTCAAATTTTAAGCCACTTGGCCTTGATTAGAAAAGTCACCCATTGACCAAAGAAGCAAACTGCCAATCTGCTTCCTCAAGTAAAAGTCTCCTTTGACTGCAAATTGAAGAGTGTTGATTCTAGGCATGACAGTGGGAAGCCACAAGGCCCCTCAGCTTGCTGAGATTATCTGCAAGTGTTATTGTACACCCCCATTCCAATCAATGCAGGCAGAAAGACGTTCATTCTCAAAGACCATTCATTTATATGATCTTTAATAAGTGTTTCCCCTCTTGCACCCCCTCTGCACTCTAATTTTAGGGTTAATTCACATGGAAGACATCAGACTTTTTCATTATATTAATTTGGTCAGGGCAATGATAACATGAATTCAGGGTTTATTCAGGGAACAGTATGAATTCAGGATGTAATTATTGTACATCCCTAGATGAATGACACCAATATATAGGAGTTTAATTCCTCCCTTATGCTCACATTCTATAGCCAGTCAAGTCACTGAATATTACTCCTGTCTAAATGTGAGTATGAGCTTTGGAACCAAAAAGGCCTATATGCATTGTGTTATAAATTAGAGTGTGACTTTTGGACTTAAACTGTGTGGTTTCAAATCCTAGTTCTACTACATAGTTATTCAGTGAACTTAGACAAATTATGTAAACATGTAAAACTTCAGTTTTCTCATTTATTAAAAGAAGATGGAAACACGAATCTCTTTTTCATAAGATTTTTAAGAATATTAAATGAATATTAAATAATACTAAATGAGGTTCATAAAACACTTAGAACAATGTCAACCATGTTACAGTCACTGCATCCCATAACAGTATTTCTGTCAACTGTGAACCACATATATGACAGTGGTTCCATGAGATTATAATGAAGCTAAAGAATTCCTATTGCCTAATCACATTGTAGTCATCGTAACATCACAGCACAATGTATTGTTCATGTGTTTGTGTTGATGCTGGTGTAAACAAACCCCCTGTATTTCAGCTGTATAAAAGTATAGCACACATAATTATGTACAGTACTTGATGATGATTACAAATGACTGTTACTGGTTTATGTATGTACTTTTTGTCATTGTTTTAGAGTATACTTCTTTTACTTATTATGAAAGATGTTAACTCTAAAACAGCCTCAGGCAAGTGGTTTAGGGGGTATTCCAGAAGAGGACATTGTTATTGCAGGAGATGGCAGCTCCATGTATGTAACTGCCCCTAAGGATCTTCCAGTGGGACAAGTTGTAGAGGTGGAAGACAGTAAAATACTGATGATCCTGACCCTGCATACACCTAGGCTAATGTGTGTATCTTAGTTTTTAACAACAAAGTTTAAAAAGTAAAAATACAAAATGCAAAATTTTAAAAATAGAAAAAAGCTTATAAAGATATAAAGAAGGAAAATATTGTTTTATAGCTATACAATGTGTTTGTATTCAAGCTAAATAGTATTACAAATGAATAAAAAAGTTAAAAACATTAAAAAGTTTATAAAGCAAAAAAGTTACAGTAAGCTAAGGTTGATTATTAAAGAAAAATTTTTGCTTTGTTTTAGAGACAGGGTCTTGCTATGTTGCCCAGGCTAGAGTGCAGTGACATGATCATAGCTCACTCTAACCTGGAACTCTTGGGCTCAGTACATCCTCATGCCTCAGCCTTCCAAGTAGCTAGGACTATAGGCATGCACCAACATGCCTGGCTAATTTATTATCATTATTATTATTATTATTTGTAGAGATGGGGTCTTTCTATATTGCCCTGGTAGTCTTGAACTCTGGCTTCAAGAGATCATCCCTTGTCTTGGCCTCCCAAAGTACTCTAGGTTTACAGTTGTAAGCCCTGGAGCCTGGCCAGGAAAAAAATTATAAAATTCACTTAGTGCAGCCTAAGTGTGCAGTATTCATAAAGTCTACAGTGGTGTCCTGGGCTTTTCCATTCACTCACCACTCACTCACTGCTTCACCCAGAGAAACTTCCAGTCCTACAAGCTTCATTAATGGTAAGGTGCCCTATTTTAGTATTTATGCCAATTTTTAATCTTTTACACTATATTTTTATTGTACCTTTTCTATGTTTAGGTATGTTTAGATACACAAATACCATTGTGTTTCAATTGCCTATAATATTCAGTACAGTAACAAGGTTTGTAGCCTAGGAGATATAGGCTATCCCATACAGCAAGAAGTATATATAATAGGCTATATCCTCTAGGTGTGTGTAAGTACACCCTGACGTTCACACAACAAAATCACCAACAGTGCATTTTGGGATGTATGGCTGTCGTTAAGTGATATGTAACTATACATAAACATATAATATAGATATAACCATGCTATATCACTTTATTATTATAGCTATTATGTGGGTTTGGAACATATGGTAATTAATCTCATCTATAAAGTGAGAGCCAGTATATCCACCTCCAAGATTTGTTATAAGAAATACATGAAAGTGGTGAATGAATTTAAAATCTAGCCTGCTCATTCTTCTAAAATGTAAACTTCATGAAGAAGAATGTTTTGTATGTTTTTAAAATTTATTTTATATCCCTCGATTAGAGAATATTGGCCTACAATATATATTCTATACATATTTCTTCAATGAATGTGTGGTGAAAGGCACAGAAGCCCTGAATTCACTGTATTTCCACTGCCATTGGTCTAGTTCAAATATGGAGCAATTCTCTCTTGAGCTATCCCCAAGTGGCCTTCCGTTTTTAAACTGCTCTTATTGCTGTCACGTCAACATTGTTTATGCATATTTCTGAACAGTTTGCTACTTTTTATTTAATTTTTTATCAAAGTAAAACTCATTTTCAAGTGCCTTCATGGTCTTATCTCAACATTTTTCCTAGGCTGCCTCAAGTCATTTCTTTTTAAATTACCTAACATCAGATAAACGGACATATTTACTCTTTTCTAGATATTCCATACAGTGTCTTATACCTGAGTGTTGTTCATGCTCTTTTGTCTACAGCAGCTTAGTTTAATTGAACATTCTGTGATAAAGGAAATGTACTCCATCTGTGTCACTGAATGTGATAGTCGTGGGTTACATGTGGCTGTTGACTGAGCATAAGAAACGAGGCTAGCTCAAGGGAGAAACTGGATTTTTAACATTATCTTCTTTAAGTCGGCTACCATATTGATCATCTTCAGTACAGATTATTCCATACCCTGCCTCTCTATTTGTCCCAATCCTCCATAACTTCACCAAAAAACACCATCTTCCAATGAGTTGGAATCATTTTTTCAATGGCGATAGCCCTTTATCTATAAACTGCTTATGACATACACTTTTCTACATTTAATTCCAGTTACATTGCTTATCTCCAATTCTAGACTATATGGAATCAGAGGGGAGAGACTCTATTTTCTATATTTCTGTACCTACTCAGTGCACAGTACGGAGTTCTCCAAAGTTTGAGATAATAATATCAATAGACTAATTGACTATTTTATTGATTGATTAAATAAAATATTTTGTTATTAATGTATTCAGTGAAAGAAAATTTAACCCCTAGTACTACTCGTCCTAGAAACCCCTCTTTTATCTAGAAGGAAACAGATTCATCACTTAATAATTATTCATTTATTCCCATTAATGTGGTACCCATATAATCATATGGTTAATCTGTCAAACAAACAAGCTAAATTTCATTTAAACTTTACAAGATAAATCAAAAATTAACTAAACATAAAAAGTGGTATTAAAGAAAATTTGTGGAAAAATGCTTTGAAATATCTTTAATAAAAAGACTCTTTGAGTATTAAAAGCTGCCTATCATAAATTTTATTTTGAAAGAGTTTATAATTTATCAGTTACCCAGAAAATATGTATCCCCAATACATACCTAAAAGATGTATTTGCAACTTATACTTTTAGAACTACTTAACATTCAAGGAAATGTGAAAATCTTTATTTCCTGGTACCTGTAATGATGAATATTCCATTACATATTATAAAATACATTTGATATTTTAGCAAATATTCATATTTGATATTTTAGCAAATATTCATATTTGATAATTCATATTATAAAATAAATTTGATAATTATAACGTCTAGGTGAGAGATCATAGGTTATTTGGAAATAAAAAACTAGTTCTTCCCAGCTTGCTATTTATTATCCCCAAATTTACCAACATTTTTTCCTATAAGCATGTATCAGCAATTTGTAAAATAACCATTCTTTATCCCTAGCACTAGCATTGTCTTTGGCATGTACATGTTAGATATGTAGTAAGTAATGTTTCACTTAATGAATGATTTAAAAGATGAATGGGTAAAAACTGTTATATATAATTTATATGAACATTTTGTTTATATTTTTCGTGTATTATATGTATTTTATATATATACATAATGTATATACATATGTACATATATATTAATACACAAAAACATAAAATTTGTATATATATAATATATATATAGAACATATTAAGAATTCCTACCTGCAAGTCAGTAAGAAAATACATATAGCTCAATAAAAAAATGGGCAAGAGGATTGAACAGACACTTCACAAACTGGATATCCAAGTGAAATGGTGCTCAACATCATCATTCATTAAGGAAATTCAAACAAAACCCTACTAGAATGGCTAACATTGATAGAAAATACCAAGCACTAGGGGTATAATAGTAAATAATAAAGACGCAATTCCTGCCTACATGCTGCCTAAGGTAAATAGGGTGATTCAGAAAATATAAAAGCAAGCTGGGTGTAGTGGCTCACACCTCTAATTCTAAGCCCTTTTGGAGGCTCAAGCAGGAGGATTGTTTGAGGCCAGGACTTCGAGACCAGCCTGGGCAACCAAGTGAGATCCCCCCCAGTCTCTACAAAAAAAAAAAAAAAAAAAAAAATTTAGAAAAGAAAATATAAAGGCACTAAAAATACTGTGCAATAAGGTTTATGATGGGGAAGTAACCACAGCTATGAAAAGCAAAGACATTATTTTTCTTGGCTAGAGAACTTCATGGTAGACAATTATGGTACAGGTTAGACCACTGTCTCAAAAGGGGATCCAAAGCAGAAAATGAAAAACTGTTTTTGCACAAATGCTACCTTGGAATTCTGAGACCATTAAAATTCGTATACAATTGTCTAGTATTATTCCAGTTAAAGAGAGCCCTGCTAATTTTAGCCCTCTGCCAGACTTTAAAAAAAAAAACAAAAAAACAAAAAAAAAACTTAGCTACTGTTGCAAAATGTGCTCAAGGAAATGAAATGGCAAGATAATTACAGTAGTCCCATCTTGGTAACTAGCTTGCAGTCATGCTTCCCTGGGACTTCTACCATGTATCTGGGTCTCTTTTGAATCTCAGCTTGTCTCACGTTCTTCTTAGAATCCATTTTGATCATGATATGAACTCTGATGTCATTTAGCTAAAAAGTATTGAATAGAGAATGGAGAAAATGATCCCCCTTCCTTTTATACTTTATGAGTTTTTAAACTAATTTCTTTATTTGGATCAAATTTGCATTTAATCTTTTTTAAGGAAAAATATCTACTTACTAAGAAAATGTGTTTCAGAGTTTACAACGGCTAGAGACTTGCTGAATGTTGTCCTCAATCTCAGGAATGCTTGGTCATCAGCCCTCAAAAGGAAACATAAAAGTTCCTTATCTGACCGTGTGTTTGCGCACACACCTTCCCAAAGCCATTGAGTCCCTCCCTTTTCCTGCCATTCAAACTGGCCAGAAAGGATTCTTTCAAAGGAAAATGGTAACATTAGAAGTCTTTTACCCATCTTTCTCATTTCTCCACAAAGTTTTCAAGGGGTCTCCAGATTATTTATTGTACCTCCAGTTAATCTTGAATTAAACGTGCTAGTACGTTTAATTCTCCCATCCACCTTACGAAATGGAGAATATTATCCGTATTTTGCAGATTAGAAAAACGATGCTCTCAAGTTTAACTGTCTTGTCCAAGACTTTCACAAGAGCTAGCTCATGGTAGAGCTGTGATTAGCAACTGAGTCTGATTCCAGACTATTATTTTCATTTCTACATGCTGCTTGTAGGGAAACAATTCCTTGAAGTGTGTTGGTCAGTTTCTTCAAAACAAGGAAGTCCCCTGGGTAATTTCCTCCAGAATGGACTTTGAGGAGTACAACACTAAATATACCATGATATAGGGGTTGTGTTTGGAGACACACCTGTATGAGACTTTCTCTGTGAACTTTGGCTCCATGTGACAGAGGTGGCCCATCCAGAGTTCATAGCTGAGGTATTTAGACTTCCTTAACACAGTATAAATGAGTTACAGCTTTATACCAGATTTACACAGGGTATTTTGAACATTACTTAATTCAGAAAGTTTTAGGAAAGTAAATATTTCTTGTAAGCCATGATTTTCATACTTAAAACAAATAGAAGAACTTTTCTTTGTAAACAGAATGTTGTGCAAATTCTTAAAATTCACACAAAACAAGGGGAAACTGCTCTGTGCATGCAAGGGGCCCTCACTGCTCCCAGTACCCATCAACCCCAAGCCCAGCTCCTGCCCATATACTTCCTCTGAATATTTATATTTCCATAGACAAGTACTTGAAAGCTACTTACTAAAACCAAATACAATCAAAGCAAGAATGCCTCTGCCATGTCTACCAATAATATCCACCATCTCAGTATGATTATTTGTAAACTCACTCTAATGATTTATTTTATCTGAACCTGTCAATCACAAAAAGAAACATACCCCTTTCCCAATACTTCTCTCCCTCTCTGTGTATATGTCTGTGTGTATGTCAGTGGGGAGGTGCGTTTTGACTATTTTGAAGCTTCAGATGTCAGAACATAGCAGAGACTGACCAGTTCAGTTGCCAAAATCTTTTTTTTTTTTTTTTTGAGATAGTCTCACTCTGTCACCTAGACTGGAGTGCAGTGGCACAATCTCGGCTCACTGCAACCTTCACCTCCCAGGTTCAAGCAATTCTCCTGCCTCAGCCTCCTGAGTAGCTCGGATTACAGGTGCATGCTACCATGCCCGGCTAATTTTTGTATTTTTAGTAGAGATGGAGTTTCGCTATGTTGGTCAGACTGTTCTCAAACTCCTGACCTCATGATGTGCCCACCTCGGCCTCCCAAAGTGCTGGGATTACAGGCGTGAGCCACTGCACCCGGCCTACCAAAATATTTAATTCTCATGTATCAGGTCTTAAATTGTTAAACAAGGGGCATTCTCTTTGTCTTGTCCTCTTTGTACGTCTCTGACTTGAAACTAAAACTGAAACAATGTAACCAACACAAAGTCACAGAAATCCCTCTCTGTAGCTTCCTTTCACTCTCTAGAACATTCACCAATGCCTGATTAATGTCTGCATTCCTGTCTCCTAGCTTTAATCCCAAATCTTCCAGCACGGGATAGTAAGACAAGAGTGTTGATAAACCATACTTCCAATACTCAGAAAGTTTTGAGTCTTCCTCCTTTAAATCTTCCTGAATCTTTTTATTTTCTTTAACATTATCACCTTAACCAAACATACCCAATACTCTTTTTGCTCAATGTGGTGAGCAAAAGGAATAGTAAAGGAATGATTTTTCCCTAGAAAGAACAACTCTTGATATGCAATTGCTAAATTGCATTGAGGGTCCAGGCTTCTCTGGGCCTTCCCTTGCATCCTCAGACAGTAATGATGTCTATCCTGTGCCCAGATTGTCTTCTTTTTTTTTTGAGACGGAGTCTCGCCCTGTCGCCCAGGCTGGAGTGCAGTGGCATGATCTCTGCACACTGCAATCTCTGCCTCCCGGGTTCAAGTGAATCTCCTGCCTCAGTCTTCTGAGTGGCTGGGACTACAGGCGCCCGCCACTAAGCCTGGCTAATTTTTGTATTTTTAGTAGAGATGGGGTTTCACCATGTTGGTCAGGCTGGTCTCGAACTCCTGACCTCAGGTGATCCCCCCCACCTCAGCTTCCCAAAGTGCTGGGATTACAGGCTTGAGCCACCCAGATTGTCTTCTAAGGACTTCATAATGAGAGAATGTTTCCAGGTCAGGAACTCTTAATTTTGTTTACAGCCACAAAGGATAACTAAATGGGCTATAGAACCTCTATGAACTCTTGGAAATGATATGTACAGTTTTTATTTTATACTAGTATATACGTGTCAATGGGGGGGTGGATTCAAAACTTTTATCATTTGCTTAAAAAGTAATATGTGTTAATATAGTCAATGGATCCTAAACTTAGTACACATCAGGATTACTTGCAGTTAAAAAATCTATACATTTTTTATTTCCACTCCAGACTTACTGATTTAAAATATTTTGGTATAAATGTGGAACAAAAATTTATAATTTTAAAACTGCCCAGGAGATTCTGCCCAGTTGTCACTGATTCATGGACCAGGGATTCAAGGACTATGGAAAACAAACCACAGCCAATATGATAAGATTTGAGATCTGTGTTCAGAGGCTGGGATTGTTGACATTATTTATTTCTTCACGAGTCTTGGATAAGGTGATTTTGATTCTTAAATACCAGATGGAAAAAAAAGAGGGGATTAATTCTTGTCTATAAACCACCCCTTAGTGTTTCATATCTTTATTTATGGTCTTAGAATTAAGTATTTTGCATTAATTAATTGATCCTCAATAAACATTTATTCAATAAATGAATAAATGAATGACAGGTGAAGAAAAACAAAATCCAAGTTATATTAATGTTATGATTAAAATTAGTATGTCCTTGAAAAGTACCTCCTAAAGGACAGATTTCATATGCAGATGAATTAATGAATAAACAGCATAAACATTTGTGGCTTATGTTTGAGATAATGAATACCGACCGGATACAAAATGTTGAGCAGCACTGATGAAAATCCTTTGTTGATGCCTCCAGCAGGTAACTAATTCTTCAGCTCGATCAAGTTGTGCAGTCTTGGCTTCAGAGACTGTTGCTGTTTTATCTCTCTCCCATGTCCGAGAAAACCAGTATGCTGGCATGGTGTTACAGCACTGTAATTAAATCACATGACTTTCATAGGGACATGGGCAGAGAAATTCTAGGCAGAAAAGGGCAGGTCCCTGACAGAACCCCACCTTCAAGCTGAAAAGCCTAAAACCCACAGCCCAAAGGGAGAACTTATATCCCTGTTTTCCTGCTCGAATGTAGCCTTTTCCTAAACCACCCGTGGCGCACCCCACCCCGTATCCTGTGCCTGTAAATACCCCAGACTCAACCAGCAGAGAGGACAAGCAGCTGGACATTGGGGACTACGGCTAGATGTCGGAGAGAAGTGGCTTGACATCAGAGGGACAGCTAGATGGCGTAACTTCAGATAAGAATCCAGCTGGAGATGGACTTTAGAAGATTACCTACCCACCTCATCCCCATTTCTGCTCCCCTTCCCATTGAGAGCCATTTTCACTGGCAATAAAATCCTCTGCATATACCATCCTTCAAATTTATTTGTGTGACCTCATTTTTCCTGGATGCCGGACAAGAGCTCAGGAGCCACAAATGCAGATACAAAAGGCTGTCACACTGGACCTTTGCCCTCGCTGACAGAGAGCATCTGCCTCATGCCAAAAGACAGAGGGCCCACAGAGCTGTTAACACTTAAGCTGTCCATGGACAGAAGATCTTAAAAAGCACTGTAACACACACTCTGGGACTTCAGGAGTCACAGTCACCCCCCGCCTGGATATTGCCTTGGGGCCTGCATGAAGTTCACTCCTGCAGATGCCCAAAAAATGCTCACTCCAGCTCCTGTACCCCCTTACCTGTGAGCTCCCTCCCATGAGGGTGGAACACAGTGGGTCTGAGTGAGTGGAGTTTGATCCTGCTAGCAGCAAAACAGCCAGCTCATTCCAGTGCTCATGCATTCTAGTTTCTGCCTCATTCTCTCGTGTGCTCCCGCCTGTGAGGAGTTGACAGTGGCAGGCTGAGTAAACAAGGCACCCCTGTCACAAGTCCTATGAACGGGTCAGGAAAATATCCTGCTTCAGTTTTTCTGAAATTTTTGAGGATGGAATGCCATTTGTTGCTGTATTTTTTTCTCCCCCTATGGAGTTAGTGTCTGTGTCATTAGTTAATATAAATTAATTTATCACAGAAAAAATATTTTGTTGACAAAGGTATGGTCTGGACAAATTATTTAAACAATTCAAGTCTCAGTTTCCTCCTATGCCGTGTGGGAAATATTTTATTTCCTTTTCAGTGTTGTTGTACAGAAGACAATATATGTAAACCAACCAAATTCAATGCCCTGAATCTAAATATGTAGTGTTATTATTTTAGTAAATAAATGTGTTGTTAATAAGGCACTACTACAGTAAATGAATTGAATATCTATTTTAATAAAAATTGTACTTTACAGACATGTGCATTTGTCTCCTACTTTTGTCCTCAGTATAAATCTATGAGTGGGTGGAGAATATACTGATCCAACTCTTTCACTCTGGGAAACTGAGTCTTAGAGTAAATTGACTTTCTCAAGTGATTTTTGCACACAGACAATAAGCAACAGAACAAGAACTTCAACCTAAGCCACAGAAGTATGTTCAATGTCTTTTTTGTTGCATTACACTATAGTCTGGGGGACTGAATAGATGTTTGTGAACAAAATTGAAAATAACATAATGCAGTAGTTATCACAGAAGGGATTCAGAAAAGCAGACATCCATGCTGAAGTGAAAAGGGAAAAAGCAGATGAGTTGCTCACTTTACATTATGATAGTAGTATGGCCAGTTAACTGGGTACCAAGGACACATGTATACAGAGTACCTGCTTAGCTGTCAGGTAGATCTGGGTTCTAATCCATGTTAAGCATTTGTTGTCTGGTCTTGAGTGAATCTCCTCCTCCACTTTCTCAGGTTTAGTTTATTTAACTAAATGCAAAATGAGAATAATGGTACCTATATGATTGGCTTATTGTGCACTTAAATTAGATAATATAGAGAGTAGATGGCTCATAGTAGGGGATCAATAATTTTTAGTTACTGTTCTCATTACTATTTTGTTTTTTGAAACAGGGTCTTGCTCTGTTGCCCAGGATGGAGTGCAGTGACACAGTCATGACTCACTGTAGCCTTGATCCCCTGGGCTCAAGCAGTCCTCCTGCCTCAGCCTTCTGGGTACCTGGGACAACAGACGCATGTCACCATGTCTGGCTAATTGTTTTAATTTTTTTGTAGAGATGGGGTCTCGCCATGTTACCCAGGCTGGTCTCAAATTCCTGGGCTCAAGTGATTTACCTGCCGTGGACTCCCAAAGTGCTGGGACTACAGGCATGAGGCACTGTGCCTGACCCTCTTAAATATTTTGTGAATAGTTTACTTTAGTTAGAATCAATCTGAGTTTGAAATTATTTTTATATTTTTACAGATTTGTGATTTTGGACAATTTAATTTTTCTGAGCCTTTTTGTCTGAGTAAAACATCAACCAAAATATCAAAAACAGCAATAATAATACCTGCCCTAATTACACTAAAAACAATGATAAATATGACATAAGTTCATGGATATGAGATTGCTTTTGTACAGATAAATTGTTATACATATGTACGTAGTTATATGCACAGAAATCCCTCATATTTATTTTTTTCAATTTTTCATGGCTCTGGGCTGCTAGGCTGCTAAAACCAGAGTGTGGATAAACAAACTTGTGTTAAATGGTAACCTCTTGCCTTTCACATAGATCGTTGCAACATATAAATGAAAGCACCCTTTAGGGAAACATTTCCTTATCAAGCCTGAACACACCAGGCCACCGAAATGGGAGTACAAATCACCCGCACTGGAAAAAGCTTTGTTAATTATTTTTAATAATACTTATAGTTTATTTATGATTCCAAAAATAATACACCTCTACATAGAAAATTAGGGGAAAATATATACACTATAAAAAGCAACTGACCCTCCAAACATAAAGAATATCTATTTTGCTTCAAGTATTTCCAGTCTTTATGAGTACACCTGGGCTTAGAGAGTTTAGATGATTTACCTTAGCTCTCAAGGGCAAAAAAATAACAGTAGAGCTGCCTCTGAATGGAGTGTAGCATTCTGTAATTTGTATATCATGTGTCCTGTGTGCTTTCAGCTGTAAAATGGTGGGGTTTGCCAACTCCAAGGCCATTGGGAGAAGCCCTCTTACTTCCATGGAATCAAGGAGTAAACCAAACCCCAAAGAGGTTCAGTGACTTATCCTACATTATACAGCCAACAGGGAGGAAAATTGGGATATAAATATTGGTTGTGTGACTGCAACTCCCAGGTGACTCTCCTTTGTCATCTCATCTGTCTTATCCAGCCTAATGGATAAACTGTGTGGAAGCAACAAAAACCCTTATGGCTAGGTTCAGAACTTGGTAGTTTATGTCTGATTGAATATCTATTTCCACCGATTCAGCAAGCAAACTCTACCTGATACTGAGCAAACTGATTTGCTTATAGACTTAGTTCCAGGTGTGTAAACTTGGGAACATGCCCTTCCTCTCTTGGTCTCAATTTAAACATCTAGAAAATAAATGTAAACTAACTGAGTCCTCTGTCATTTTGAATGTCTTTAGCCACATGCATTTTTTTTTTTAAAGCAACTGCAGTAGTTTAACCAATAAAGATACTTATTTTCTCCTCACACTAGTCTGGATGTAGTTTGAAGGCCCAACTGTGCCCTCAGAGACCCTTCTACATTTCTGCTCTGCCAAACCTTTGTAACACCCCTCATGATCTCAAAATATCTGCCTTGGTTCCAAGAATCACTTCAAGACAGGCCAGCCATTGGCAAAAGTACAACTATCATTTCTGTGAGTCTCTTCTTAAGGAAAGGAAAATTTTCCTAGATACCACTTAGTAGATTTTATCTCAGGTCTCACTTAGCAGAATTTAATCACATGCTATTTTGAAACTGATTATTGGCACAGCAAATAGTTGTCTTAGGGTATATACACACTTGATTTCAAAAAGTTATGCAGCTTTGCTCTCCAAAATGCTTGTAACTTTTTCTAGAAGATTACACATTTTTCTGGCAGAATATAAGAGGCTTTTTTTTCTCACATTCACATATATATTTTTAAAAAATTTTTACACATCCAGTGATTAAAAAGTGGTAACTTGTTAGATGTTTTATACGCACACACACACACACACACACATATTTCTATCAGATCCACAAAAATTAGTGAAGTTTTAAAATATTGTATTGGTGAAACTATGGGGAAAGAACTGTCTCATGAATTGTTTGTGGTAGTTACATTAGCACAATTTGGGAATGAATTGAGGAAAAAACCTTTCAATATTTTAATGTTGTGTATCCTTTGACCCAGGCATTGTAATTGTAGCAATTCATCCTCCAGATGTACTTGACAAATATCAGAAACAAACTATAGAAATATCTCTGCCCTCATGGAGATTATATTTCAGTGCAGAATTTTAGGTAACAGGGAGGCATTAAATCACATCAGTGAAAGAAACCACCACTCATGTGTAAAACATGAAGCTGCTTGCTAAACAAGGGTAAGTTCTATGAGGAAAGATGCCTCACCCTTTTTAACAAATTTGTGGCTTTTTATTATGTGACTACACCATACTTTAGCCACTTCTTTATTGAGAATAATACATCCTGTTAGGGAAATATTTAATTATTCCTTGGCCATCTCAACAAGTAATAACTAAAACCAATTTTTAAACATAAGATGAGGAAGCTTTACAAGTACTGAAATAGAAAGATCTCCAAGAGGCATTGCTAAATTATTATTAGGGGAAACAATACTTGTATTTGCTTGTATAATGCATAAAATATTTCTGGAAGGATGTAGCAGAAATTAACTGCTGCTGTCTAAGGAGGTGGAGGCATGAGGTCTGGGTAGCTGTGGGACGGGAAGAAGAGGAAGATTTTTCACTATAATTATCTTTTTATTGTGATATTTTAAAATATATATTCCTTTAAAAATATGTATTATTGTTGTTACGTTGTAAAAGCTCTGCATTTATTTTACTGTTACTGAAATCTCAATATTATGTGGCCAGGCATGGTGACTCACGGCTATAATCCCACACTTTGGGAGGACGAGGCAGATGGATCACCTCAGGCCAGGAGGTTGAGACCAGCCTGGCCAACATGGTGAAACCCCATCTCTACTAAAAATGAACAAATTAGCTGGGCATGGTAGCACACGCCTGTAGTCCCAGCCACTTGGGTGGCTGAGGCAGGGGAATCGTTTGAATCTGAGAGGCGAAGGCTGCAGTGAGCTAAGATTGTGCCACTGCACTCCAGATTGGGGGACACCGTGAGACTCCATCCCAAAAAAAAAAAAAAAATTAATGTTATTGAAAATCTCAACTTATACTTTTTGATCATTATTTGTCCTGATTCATAGGAGATAATTTTATATTTTGAGTATTATTTCTGTTAAGTTTAAGTCACTAAAATATTTTATTTATCCTCTTAACTGTCTATGATGTTCTTTGTCCAATAGAAACCTTAACTTATAATCAAATTCATAACAACTTTCTTTATACTTTATGTTTTCTTTTTAAATTGTGTTTTAAGAACTCCTTCTAAACCCCAATTCTGTAAAGACAATCAGGCATTTTCATTCATAAGCTTTATATTACCTTTGAATCCATTTGAAAGTTAGGACCATATATGGTTTTACAAAAGTTTCCAACTTCATTTATTCTAACACATTTTTCTAAGCAATCAGTTGTTGACCTATTGATATGTGATGCCTCTTATTGGTCCTGTGTGAGCCCCAAGATGGTGGTTAATTCATGGTTCATCCATCATCATCACCATTAAGGCCTAGAATGATCTAGTCCTTTCAGGTGTTTCTTTCCTAAGCCTTTTGTAGCTTCCTTGCAGGCATATGTTTATCACACCTCAGTGGAAGACCGTGCAGGACCCTCTACAGATCTCTAATGCTCTCTTTAAGCAGCTCTCTCCTCTCCAGCAGTGTGTACTACAAACTCTAGCTACTTGGGCAGTCCAATTCCCAGCTCTGGCTTCTCAAACTGGGAAGCCTACCAGGGTCCACCTAGGTTCCCCTTCTTAGAGCTATGGCCTGGAAGCTCTCCAGGCAAAGTAGAGAGGCGGCCACAGGGTTCACTGTGTTTCCAAATTCTCAGAGATCATGGCCCTTCAATTCCTGATGGCCAAGATCTGACGGCCGAGTCCTCCACTTTGTTCTTTTTAAATATAATCTCTGTTTTTGCTGTACTTTTAAGACATTTTTCCAAGTTCCCCCCAAAATTTCACTGGAATTTTGAATAAAATTGCATTGAATTAATTAAATTGGGATGGTATCCTCCTTACAAAGTTAAGTAATTATACCCATGAATTTAGTAAGAAAGTTTATTTAGCATTTAAGTCGTTTAATAGAGCTTTACCTTTTTTTGTCTTCTTAAAGTGTCTCTTCTTTAACAGTATAATCGTTAGATATTTTAGATAGTTTTTGGTACTGTTGTAAATAGTCTAATTTTCCTTTTCATTTTATGGTTGGCTATTGGTGTAGGGGGACCTTCTTGATTGCATACACTGACTGTGTAGCTAGAAATTTTATTTACATTTTCTAATTAGTTTCAACAGTTTTTCTGCTGATTGTCTTTGATACCCTATGCACAACATACTGTTGATCTGTATGTAATTATAGTGTTGACTTCTCCTTTCTAATTTTTAAATTTTTTGCTTCATTTGATTTTCTTACTGCATTGTACACTGTTCATTGTATACCAAATAGTGTTAATGACAGCTGAAATCTCTTGTATATAACCTTAAAAGAAATGTCCTACATTTTTCGATTTCAGTGTCATTGTTTTTGTTTGTCATTAGTAGACAGCCATTAGCAAATAAATGGTGTTCCCCATTCAGTTTTCCCAGAGATGTTTCACATTGAATCAGATAGAGATGTTAAATTTTATCAAATTTATTTTTTCCCTTCCAAATCAATTGAGGTACTTGTGTATTTTCACGTAATAACATCAATAATTTTTCTTACATTGAACTGTTATTACTGAGCCTTAATTGTCTTTGGACATTATTTCATTTTGTTTTTGTTTCTGTTTTTACAATGTCTATTTCAGAAGACTGAAATTGTTTGCCCTCATTTTTATTTCCATCGAAAAGGGAGGAGAGCTATCATGGTTACTTGGGTCTAATCTTCTGTCACTCAAACTTTGGGCTCAGCTCCAGCTTCAACAGCTACGTGCTTCAATGAGTGGTTTAAGATCTTTAGAAATTAATATCCTCTTCTATAAAGATAGAGATCAGAGTCAGGAATAAAATTCTGTGATGTCTTGCCTGGTCAGCTCTTGAGAAGCTTACACAAGATATTCAGTCAGGGTTTCTTTTCTCTCTGTCTTCGCTTCCCAGTGAGTCCTATCCCTGCGTCCTCACCACTTTTCTCAAACTTCATCTTGGAGATACGCTGTCTGGTTTTTGTCATGCCTCCAGGTTTTTGCATGTACTGTATCTCCTGTTTAGGACAATCTTCCTGCTTAAGTGAGAGTTGGTTGATTAATTATTAAAAATATTGCTAGTATAGGAAAATTGAACTTTATTTAAAAATTATCAGACAACTCACAGAACAGACAGAGAAAAGCCATAGCAGCACTATGAGTCTGGGCAGCAGGAACCCCTTGACCATCCTGTCCAGGAGTTACGTAACAAATCTACTCCCAAGTGAGCTTCGAATCACTTTGTTCTTCAGCTGCTGTGGTCTGAACATGGTCACCAAAAATGCACATGTTGAAACCTATCTCCAATGCAATAGTATTAAGAAGTGGAGCATTTACGGGCATGATGGTGCATGCTTATAATCCCAGCTACTCGGGAGGCTGGGGCAGGAGAATCGCTTGAACCCAGGAGGCAGAGATTGCAGTGAGCCGAGATCATGCCATTGCACTCCAGTCTGGGCAACAAGAGCGAAACTCTGTCTCAAAAAATAAAAGTGGGGCATTTAAGAGATAATTAAGATATGGGAGATTAGTGCCCTTATAAAATGGCTTGAGGGAGCCCTTTCCCTTCTACTGTGTAAGGACACATAAAATTTGCCATCTATGAGAAATGGGCCCTCATCAGACATCAAATTTGCTGATGCCTCGATCTTGCACTTCACAGCCTCCAGAACTATGAGCAATAAATCTCTGTTGCTTAGAAATTACTCAGTCTAAGGTATTTTGTTATGGCAGCCCAGATGGACTAAAGCATCAACTTAATATTCAAAATCCCTAGAGAAGGATTGTTGTAGGCCTATCATGTTCTTCATCACCTCTTGATGGGGTCAGGACACCTTGACGTATTGTCCCATCAAGACCAATTACAGAGGTGTAGAGGTCATTTTCTAGAGGAAAATACACCTTTTTTTTTTCTTCTTTTTTTGTTTTTTTTTGAGACAGAGTCTTGCTCTGTCGTCAGGCTGGAGTTCAATGACACGATCTTGGCTCACTGTAACCTCTATCTCCTGGATTCAGTCTATTTTCCTGCCTCAGCCTCCTGAGTAGCTGGGACTACAGGTGCGTGCCACCACGCCCAGCTAATTTTTGTATTTTTAGTAGAGATGGGGTTTCACCATTTTGGCCAGGATAGTCTCCATCTCCTGACCTCGTGATCCGCCCACCTAGGCTTCCCAAAGTGCTGGGATTACAGGCGTGAGCCATCACACTGACAGAAAATGCCACCTTTTAGAAGAAGGAATAAATTCTGGCAACCTCCCAAATAAGAAATGCCCACTGTGGTTTCCATGTCATTCCTTGCTTACCTCCTATTTATTAATCAAGATCTTGTTTTGGAGACACTGCCTCATGAAAGAATGGATTGGACGCCCTGCTTTCCTATTTCCATAGTACCTTAGTTCTTCTTAGTGTAAACATATTCAGACCACAGTGTTGTGCTTAGTGGTTCCTAGACTGTTTCCACGGAAGAGATGACACTTGATTGCAGAAAAACTAACCTGAATGCTAACTCTTGTCTTTCCAGATTGTAGCACAGAGTACTTGGCACATGGTGGGTCTTAGTAGTTATTTTTGTAAAGACAGATGGAAAGAAGGGGGAGGGATATAATGAGTAGGGAAGAAAGAAGAAAGGTGGGGATGAAGAAAGGAATCTAGAAAACAACAAATGCTAATTCAATATGATGAAGAATTCTCTAAAGATAACCATTTAAAGAACTAAGCTGCCCTGAAGGTAATGGATTCCTCATTGTGGAAGGTCTTTAATTACTAGCCAGATAACATGTGACCCATAGGCTATCAAAGGAATTAAAATTCTGAAAAATAAACTACAGCAGATAACTTTTAAGATCCTTTTCAACTGTGAGAGTCCATCATTCCCTGATACAGAATACAAAATGATGAGGACTGGGGGTGGGTAGGTGTAGGAGGGCATATTAGTTCCAAGGCAACAATCTATATGCAGGGTGATAGAAGGCATTGGATTCTGTGCTTTTGTAAGCCCTCCCTGATTTTGTAAATACCTGTAAAGGAAAAATTATTCTTTTCAATGCTTGTCTCATGAGTAGCTTGACTCTTACTTAATTTCTGTTAACCAATGCATTAGGAACATTAGGAAGCTTCTGGAATAAGATAGCTTTTCTATTTTTGGGTGTATATCACAGGCCTTAAAAAGATCAGAGAATATGTGCAGCTAACTCAAAAATCTCTCAGACCTCAGACCTCTTGGGATTTTAGTTTTCAACATTATCAAACCTTTGATATTTGGGTTTGTTTTCCACTGGCAAAACACTACTTTGATTGTTAAATGGATGCTGGGAATTTCAGATGACCTTTTTTGAAAATTAGTATATTTTTAAAACTAATATTTTTATATTTAATATAAATAAATTAAAACTTGGCATTTTTTTTCTTTTGAAGTACACATGGATATAGTACTTACTGCCATGGGTCCGTATCAAATAGCATTTCAGTTTCCTTTATATGCAAAACTTTTAAAATGAAGAATTGAAGTTTTTCTTCAAACAACAAATTGCATAGAATTTACCATGTTTGCCTTACTGTGACACACACAAAAAAACCTCATCGTATATGAAATAAATGAGAGATTAGCAAATATTAAAACAAGCCATTTGTTTACCCATTTCACACAAAAGAAAATCACTATGAAATGACTGTATGAAGTTGAAAAGACTAAGAAGAAAATCCCACAAAATACCGATAAACAAATTATCACTTTATTTCCCTTTTTAGATAAAACAATCTAGTTCACTCTCACAAATACTTGGAATTTAATCTGTAGTCTAGGCACAAGTACTTTAGTAGTATCTATTTGCAGTAGATAGGTAAACAATAAAAAATTTAGAGTATAGATGAGAATCTGGGGCTTAGAGCAAGGATAGAGTATGGGATTTCTAATTGGATGGGACACATAGGGAAGTGCGTCCGGAAGGCAGAGTTCTTGGCATGTTTCTTTGGTGTGGCTTGAAGAAGGAGTGGTAGGATTCTGACAAAGGATAAAGCCGTGCTCCCCTCTTGCAAATTATTTCTTGGTTAGCTACTGTTAGAAAGATTAAACAAATTGCCCAAAGTGTTACTAAATGTGTTTCTCTCTCTCTGTGTGTGTGTGTGTGTGTGTGTGTGTAGGGAAAGACATAATTATATCTGGCTAGCATTTTACAAAGTAATTCACATTTATTATTTTATCTAATCCTGAAAATTATCCTGGAAAATAAGGGTGGCTAAAAGACATATCCTAGGTTGAATCACCTAGTTATTGATAGAACTCCAACTGAAAACCACGTTCTCCTTCCACAAACTTGTCTCTGAGCCTCAGTCTTCTCATGTCTATACTACCTTGCAGAGTTGTTAAAGGATTAAATTAGAACACACATAAATGCTTGGTACATTGTGAATGCTTGAGAAAGTGGTTATTTGAAAATAATAATAAATATGTATTAAAGAAGTAATGAGAAATATTTCTATCTCATTTACTTGATCTATGTAGACAGTGACTTCCAAGGTACCATACTTAGTTTGTACGTGACATTCTGGTTATACAAGGATGAATACTCTTGCCTGTACTCGCAATATACACATCAGTTAATCTTTGTTTCAGGGTTGTGCTGCCCTGCTGCTGACACCATCACTAGAGCAGGTCAGCTGTTTAGCTTGTAGAGAGAAAAACGCACCCATAAATGCATTCTGCAGACACACAAACAATGAAGAGTAAGGGAGAGTCAGCCCAAGAGAAGCAGTTACCGCTCTTCTGGCATTTTGCTCCATCTGACCTGGTAGTTTAAACTGATTGAGGGATTGGGGCTAATTCCTTAAGCAGTCAACAAAGGCACACGATGGAAAGTAGGGGTGAGGGCTGAGTGTCTACTAGAAGTCTATGTATCTATTGAGGTTTAGTATTTCACTCTCTGCTGAATCTAATTCCCACTAGGGTGACCAAAAATCCTGGTTTTCTCACACTGAGATAACTTGGTACTTTCCTTTTTATTTTTTTTTTTTGAGATAGAGTCTTGCTCTGTCACCAGGCTGGAGTGAAGTGGTGCAATCTCAGCTCACTGCAACCTCCACCTCCCGGGTTCAAGCAATTCTCCTGCCTCAGCCTCCCTAGTAGCTGGGATTAGAGGTATGTACCACCATGCCTAGCTAATTTTTTTATTTTAGTAGAGACAGAGTTTCACCATGTTGTCTAGGATGGTCTCGATCTCCTGACCTCGTGATCCGCCCTCCTCAGCCTTTCAAAGTGCTGGGATTACAGGCTTGAGCCACTGCGCCTGGCCAGAATGTAGTACTTTCAATGCTAAAAATAGGAAAGTCCTAGCCCAACTAGGACAACGGGTTGGTCACCATACACCTAACCCAGAGTGTTAGGACCTATAACTTGGTGCTGCAGGCCCCTTTGTAAGCTCTTTGTCTCAGGCAGGCAGATTCAACCCAACCTTCCAGGAGCCATCGCAGGACTCTTCTGCATATGAGCACTGGTTTCCTAAATTATTTTCTTCTTATTTACACTCCTTCATAATTTTCAGTGAGAGAAAGGGTTAATGAATAGATATTTGTAATTCCATTTAAATTTTTATCCCATATTTTCCCCTTAGACTTTGGCACCTGCTACCACTTGTGTGATAGCCTGAAACAAAGGGAATCAGAAAGAGCAAACAAATGTTAATGAGAAAAACTCAGAAACAGCTGAGATGCTTAGTTTTCAACAGCATTCTTTTTCCATAAACATGTGGACACATAGTTTTGATTTTCTCCTGAATATTTATAATACGGTTTTATTTTTTCTGATTGAAACTCTGTTGATACTTCTTGTGGTAGACTAGAAAAGTAAAGGCTAAAAATAATGCTAAGGTTCATTGAGTACCTACGATATGAACTAGACTGAGCATTCTCTTTTTTGTGTGTGTTTTTTTTTTTTTTTTGAGACAAGGTTCTACTCGGTCATCTAGGCTAGAATGCAGTGGCAAAATCATGGTTCACTGCAGTCTCAACCTCCAGGGATCAAACAATCCTCTTTCCTCAGCCTCCCAAGTAGCTAGGACCATGGACGTGTGACACCATACCCAGCTAATTTTATTTTATTTTACTTCTTGTAGAGACAGAGTCTCACTGCGTTGCCCAGGCTGGTCTTGAACTCCTGGGCTCAAGCGATCTTCATGCCTTAGCCTCCCACAGTCTGAGGATTACAGGCAGGAGCTACCATGCCTGGCCTAGACTAAACGTTTTCATCACGTTAATCTGTTTACTATTTATGCCATCTTTATGAATTAGGTATTATTTCTATTTTACATTCAAGCAAAATGAGGCACTGAGAGGCTCAGTAACATGTACCCAAGGTTAATCAAACAGCTGGTAAAAAAAAGGGAGAGCTATGTTTTTGAGCCTCAGTGGTCCACCTTGACAGCCCAGGCCAGAATACTTTCCCTAGATATGTGCTGTTGGCACCATCCCTTGCAGGTTCTTGGGCACCCAAACAGCCATGATGATCCATGGCCTATCAAAAACTGTCTGCATCTAATTTTCTCTTTGACAACTGTGAGCGTGTTTTTCCTGTGTGCCTGAAAATTTTCAGAGGAGACATAATGAAGAAAAGATTCTCTGTCTCTTTTTTCATATTTCACTAAAAGATGAATGTCCTAAAGAAATCTAAAACGTATGATGATAAACAAAATATGCGTGTTTCTCCTGGACCTGTACCCTTCCTGAAGGGCTCAGTGAAAAGGGCACAGAGTCATCAGAGTCAGTATGCCCTAGGGTTAAATCTTAAATCTTAGATGATTGCTATTTTCAGGCCACCTCATCTTAGTAAGTTACTTATGCTTGCTGAATTTCAGTTTCCTCATTTGTAAAACGGAGGACATGATGCATACCACTGCCACTCTCCTGGTGTTGAGGCCTCCACTTCTTATCTCCTGCTTTGCACCCTCATTGGCTATTGCTCTGTTCATAATTGAGATAGTTGCGGAGAACCCTTACTCCTGAGTAGAACTTCTGTCCTGAATCCTTGTGTGTGTTCTCTGAACTGGCAAGAAAAACAGAAGGAAGTAACATTTATTAAGGTCTGATGCTGAACGTCCGATGCTGCAGAAGAATGTTATTATTTCATAAAGACCTTATGTCACTTACTATGTGCGTTTAGTTTTTTGCAATGGAAGTTCAACTACAATGGTTTAACCACTATAGCAGTTTTAATTTAAAACTGCTACTTAACCAAGTTGCAGTTTCAATTTTCTACTGCAACTGGGAGCATTCCAGGGCTGATATGCTGGCTCCAGGATTCACTGGAGCTGCAATATGGCTCTCAGCCTCCATCATTGCCTCCACATTCCAGACAAGAAGGAAGAGAAGATCAAAGAACAAAGGGTGAATGCCAACTGAGTTGGTCTGCATTTGAAAAGTTTTCTCCAAAGCTCCAAGGAGTGACTTTCATTTAGAATTTAATTAAGAATTGTGTCACAGACTAAAAAGGTGGCTGGGGAGTTTTGTTGTTCAAGCTGGGCATATGGCCACCCTGAACTTAATCAGAGGTTTGTTAGCAAAGCAGAAGAAAATGGATATTGGAGAAGCTACCCAGAAATGTTTATAGCAGCATGTCCCAAATTCAGTGAGCGTGCTGGTATTTTAATTACCTGTGTTTACATGTTTCAGAAAGAATAAGCAGCCAAACCCAGGTAACACAGTCACAGTGCACCTCTATCTACCTTTTTCTGTTCTACTACATCTTTCTTAATGGCCACTCTTCCTAACAAGGGTGTTCCTTCCTGAAATAAATTCTAAAAAAGAACATTTTATGTTTTTCTGGTCTCAACATGATAGAAGATTTGGAAATATAATTTTTCCATGTACCTTGTACATTCCAGGCATTGTTTTAGGTAGTTGTTTTCCCTGCTGATGATTCTCTACTCAGAAAAGCTAAGCAATTTTTTTATGACCCTAGGGGTGGTCAGTAGGACAGCTGGGGTTCAACTGAAGGTGGGTCGAGTCCCTTCTGTGTATATCACATGGTGTAACCAACTAAGAGTATTTAAAATCTGGTAGAAGGAATCAGAATGATGAAACCATCATCAAGGTCTGTAATAGTAGAATTTCAAACAGTGGACTCATACTCTGGATGAGTAAATGGCTAAATGTGAATTTCTACACCGTTATACTTTATTCATCTCCTTCCTACCCAGGGCCCTTCCTTTCAGAAAAAACACTTCCATATTTGGTCATGTGTGATTGGTTGAAAGTTTTTGAGATTAGTTTCTCTGAATGTGACTTCCATGCAAACTCTAATCATACTTTCACGTGTTGCTCTTACTTAGTCCTGCCAACCCACCCTGGCAAAGGAATAGGAAAGCAGATAGCCTCCTAAGGAAGCACTGGTGTGCTGAAAGAATGGGAGGGCATCTTGTTCTTCGGGAGACTGGCTGAGTCCTCATTCTTCCTCAGCACTCTGCTCTCCTTCCTTCATCAAAAACACCCTCTTGTCTTTCCCTAAATAGTTATGGATAATTAGTGAGGAAATGTGGATATTCCCCTTTTGTCATCATTAATAAATGAAACCCTCCAGAAATCTCTTACTGAGGTATGAAACAAAAGATGGCAAACTGATTACCATCCTCATTATTAGAATTTGGGCATGGAAAAATGGCTTCTTCTGGGATACCTTTGCCTTCTTTGTCTAGGACTACATTCCAAAGCAGGAGAATGTTGGCATAATCATACATTTCAATGTGAAAGGAAATAATGAACAATATCAGATGATTAGAACAAAATGTTAGCTGATAAAGAGGAATTTCATGGAAACTTTGACTTCACTTAACTTGTTGAAAAGTGAGCTATTAAACTGTTGTAGGACACTTCAAGTACAATTAAATGTGGCTCAATTTAAACATGAAAACTGACAGAAATAAATAATTGTGAATAAATAAAGGCATGTGGACTATTTTAAGATGAATCATTAAAGCAATAGTAGAGAGAACTTTAGGAACCACAGATCTTATCCTCCTGTTTAAGTGACCCACTCAAGGTCATAAGTGAGAAGAGGCAGAGCTGGCCTCTTTATTTATTTATTTATTTATTTATTTATTTATTTATTTATTTGTCTGGCACTGTGTTACATATATGCTGTCATTATTCCTTAAAATAATATGAAAGAGATACAACCATATCTACCATATTTCCTTAACTCTAAGATGTACATCTTTCCCAGACTCAGCAATCTGCCTACCTCAACCTCTCAAGTAGCTGAGACTACAGGTGTGTACCACCACATCTGGCTAATTTTTTAAATTTTCTATGGAGATGGGGTCTCACTATGTTGCCTAGGCTGGTCTTGAACTCTTGGGCTCAAGTGATCCTCCTGACTGGGCCTCCCAAATTGCTGGGATTACAGGTGTAAGCTACTGTGCCTGGCTGCTGCACATCTTTTTATACTTTTTAACATCATTAAATTTGGGATGAATCTTACAAATTCCTAAATCTGATCTGTGTGCCGCTATTAAACTTCTTCTAGAGAAGTTTACTTCCAGTCACGTGGGGGCACTGTCAACCTGAGCCCACTTTAAATTATCTACTTGAGAATTTTTTTTTTTTTTTTTTGGTGGCAGAAGCCGGGAGGTGGTACGTACTGACAGCGTAAATACAGAAGGCAAAGCTGGCCTGAAAACTTACAGCTCAATTTTTTTTTTGTAAGACAGGGTCTCGCTGTCACCCAGACTGGTGTTCAGTGGCACAATCGTAGCTCATGGGCTCAAGCAATTCTGACATCTGCCTCCCGAGTAACTGCGGCTAATTCTTAAGAGAGACCACCTTCCCACATCACTACCAACACTGAGACAAGCACATTTCCTGGGTGTCTCTCATTATTTCCCTTACACTGAGGGCATAGCCCTTTGGTATTCCAGACCTATGTGAGTGGCTTCCGTTAGACTCCTTCGCTTGGACATTTTCCTTTCTTAATGGCACACAAGATGAAAATATACCAGTGAATCAGGAAGAGCAGCATTACTACTCCCCTTTATATATACCAGGAAACTGAGGCTTAGAGAAGTTAAGTAACATTCTCAGTGTCACATGAAAAAGTAAAGTTGGGATTCAAACTTATTTCTCCTGATTTCAGATCCAGTGCACTATCTGGTGCACCACTCTTTACCAGGAATCGACTGTGTGACTTTGAGAAAGCTGTTCCCCTCTCTGGGCATTGGTTTTCTCATGTAAGAAATGAGATGGGATTGAGTAGAGATTTTAGAAAGAAAGTAAGATTTTTTGCTTGCATATGTCTAACCCAGATGCTTATGCATTTTAATCATCTAGCAATCAAATTAACCTTAACAGCTAGGCTTTATTTTATCTGTTTTTGCAGATGATAGAATAAAAACATGTGTAGAATATGTCCAAGGTCACACAAAGAGTGAGTGGTACAGCTGAGTTGAACCCCAATAAGCCTGACTCATAAGCCTGGCTGAGTCATGCTGCTTCTCAGAACTCTTGATCCAGTACTTTTCCCCATAAGCTGTAACTCCTTCCTGCAGTGTATGATTGCCACAGTCATATTATTGAGAAGTGACCCCTGTGTCACATCATCAGTGCACGTTGTATTTTTTGTATGTGGCTCATTGGCTATTAGGGGCTGCTCGTGTCCACCAGCTAGATTTGATCACATAGGCAGAGTCCTGGCGAGGACAAGAGAATGCACAGGAAGACAAATGGCAGGGTGAGCTCCCAGCAGCCTGACATGGTCATCAAAGACTTCGCCCTCTCTGCTGCAGCATAAACCCAGACTGCTACTATAAGGAGCTAGCACCTGAGGCTCTAGGTTGAACAGACGTCTTGATCCCTGCCTCGTGTAGATGTCCACAGTAATGGGAGCTGCCCTCTGGATTTTTTCTTCATTAGAAAATGAGTCTTTTTCTAAAAGCTAGGAGATTCTATTTGTGCTGACTTTTCTCAGCATGCTTACAAATCAGTGTGATTCCTGTGTCCAACCTTACACGTGGATGTGCTCCCCGCTTGGTTAGACCAAGTCCCAGGCACAGTGCAATTGGAACGGCAGAACTGAAAACGGATGCCTAAAACTGAAGGAGAGGTGAGAGGGGGTTCCTAGAGGCACCTAGCTGGCTTCATTGTCTAGGAAGATGGCTCCTTCTCTCAGAGAGATTCACATTAACAAAACTCATGGAGATTGTTGTATAAGATTAGAATGCCATTGTATTAATCCACAATGACAGACACAACTACTGGAAGTTCAAGTCAGCATAAATCATCCCACAAACTCATGTATTTTTATGAGACACCCTATAAAATATTTAATAAAAGGATAATTGTTGAAAAGAGAAAAGAACAAGGACAATTAAAACTGTGATATTAAGTTATGTTCTTGCCTGAGGCTCTCTATCCCACTTTAGTCAAGGGAGGAAAGTGGTTAAAGCATGGATAGTAGAATTAGATAAACCAGGGTTGGACTCTCATCTCTGCCACTTCTAGCCATGTTATATTTAGCAAATATTTGATCCTTATTCAGCCTCGGTTTTCCCACTGGTAAAATAAAAATATTAGTATGACCTACCTCATAGAGTTGTGGGAATACAACGATGTGTCATATGTGAAGGGCTTAGCACAGTTTTGGGCATGTCAGGGTCTCTTGATTCTTCAATGTCACTGGTTATAAGGAGCATTGTCAAATTTAGTAGCAGTTTTTCAGACACAAAGAAACTTAGCTAAATTGAGTGTGCACATCGATCATAAGATACGTGTTTCGTTTTGTTTTTTCCAAAACAAAAAGCAATGTGATTTTTTAAAAATAAAAGAATAATGGTAACAAACATTTAATATATGGAATTCTTGCTGTTCTTATTGTTGTTGTTATTACTTTTGTTGCAAGTGGGGTGCTTTTAGGCAATGTCCTTTGGTTGGAACCTCATCTTCCTGCATTGCACTGGGATTAGCACTGCCCAATCCCGCAGCTTCATCTCATAACAGATCTTCTGTCTGACCATGCATATTCATGTATTATGGACTGTGTCTCTTCTTCTGAGAACCTACTCAGTCATTCTCTTTGAGGAGACTCCAATAATTCTAACTTAATGTGCTGTTTGAAGAGGTTTGGTTAGAGAAGGGTCAAAAGAACAAGGCATGGGGAGTTGTAGATCTCTATTCCTGCTGCTTTTGCTCCTCTGCTTCACAGAGAGACTCCAGCTGAGCACTGCTGCTCTCTGGATGGTTCTCATTCTGTGACATGACACGTGATTTCTGTGGTCTTGTTCTTTTTCCCGAGGTTATGGACTGGGTCCCGCTCTACCTTGGTCATTGTAAACTGCATGATCTTCATCACCCTATTTCCTTTCATAACCTTCAGTTCCTTCACCTTTAAATTAGGATTCATTAGACCTCGTTCACAGAATTTTATTGGGGTTAAATAAAATACGATAGAAAAATAGCTGCTCACTGAAGACAGAGGTGGGGAGGTTATTGATGTGGTTGAAAGAGTAAGATGGCTCTGTGATGATGTAAGGATGAGTGTAGGAAGTAAATGGATACTGAATGGGGACACAGTGGGGAGAAAGGAATCCAGGAAGGAAGGAAGAGAGAAAGGAATCTAAGTAAGAAGGGGGAAATCCAGGAAGAAAGTGAGAAGGGGAAATAAGGGTCATGAATGAACAGAGGAGGGGTTTGGAGAGAGTTGACAGATATGTAAGAAAGTATTATTTAAGTAGGTTGTTCCGACTTAGAAGGGGCACACTCCAATTTAGCTTGGTAAACTTTGAGGTAGCATGACTTCAGCATTCAGTGAAAATGTGCATTATGAATAGGCATGTAAATAGCCCAGCATGGGGGCTGAAAGTTGGAGGCAGCTTTTGGCAGAGGTAATAATGAAGTGAATCCCATTAGTGATGGAAAGGCAATTAAGGAAAACCTCAGTGAAGCTCCACATCTGAGCAACCAGCTGAAACATTGGGATTTTGGAGGAAAAAGGTTAAGCACCACGAGGCTGTTTATAATGACTTTAATTAGATAGAAAATGAATTGTTTTGCTCTTTTCTTTCCTCACTTTAAGTTTTCTTTTTAGGTAACAGAGCATCTGTAACAACACTGAGGTGCACTTGTCAATTGCAGGATCATATGTAGGAGGTGTTCAGCAAGTGAGTGATTTCATGATATGGTTATGCTCCCTACCAGAACAAGGGGATTCCAACCATTTCAGTTGCCAAACCCCAGTGGGTAGACTGTATAATTTGTTCATAAGAAGGATCTCTGAGGGACTTGAACTTACTATCAGGGCACTTAGCATTTAGCAAGACACAAGATGAAAATTGCTTTCAATCCCTCAAAAAATGTAACACATGGATTTTTCTATCATCTTTATTGATGCCAATGGAGGGAAGAAACATATATTATAGATGTGTTATGATATGATAGTTGAAATTTACAAAGTAACACGTCTCATTCTTTCTGCAAAAAAGGAAAGAAAAATAAGATTTCCATTGTATTAATATCCCCATTGTACAGATAAGGAAAGTGAACCTATTACAGGTTAAGTGATTTACCCAATGTCACAAACTAATAAGTGACAGAGACAAGACACAAATCGAGGCCTGATAAGTCTGTGGTCCACACATCCTCCACTTTACCATGCCTGACATAAATACATAACAGCTGGATGCACCCTTACAGGTGATCCTATTCAGCAAATGAGAAACAAATGTCTAGTGGTTTTTCTCATGCTGTTTAGTTTATAGCTAGGACTCAGTATCAACTGAGGGATCCACTGAGAAGAACTGAATGGATGTATATGAAGAGCGGGTCGTATTGCAATACTTTTCATTTTTCTGTGGGTCATAAAAGGATTTATTATTCCAATGATTGAAAGTATCAGTTATTTTTAGTTTTGAAAGTAACCTGGAGGTTGGACAATGCTCACCCAGCTGGTGGATAAATTTCCATGGCAACCAGTTATTAGTCAGAGATTGATTCCAGAGGCATGCTGTCTAGAGAGCCCTGATTCTCAACCCTGGCTGCACATTGGAACCCTTGGGTAGCTTTTAAAAAATACTCTGGCGTGGGGGCTATCCCTAGAGGTTCTGATTTAATTGATTTAAGGTACAGTCATGGCATCAAGATTTTGTAGGTTACTCAAGTGATTCTAATGTGCAGCTGGTTGAGAACTGCTGCTATGGAATGAGGTTGTTAAAGATGATATATGGTCTATGCTGTTTTCACTACCTGGGAGAACTTCAAGGAGTTTCAGCTATTCTGCTATTCTAACTCCCTGCTTTTTCCTCCCCTCTCCTCCCTTCCTCCCTTCCTCCCCTCCCTCCCTTCCCTTCCCTCCCTTCCTCCCTTCCTTCCCTCCCTTCCTCCCTTCCTTCCCTCCCTTCCTCCCTTCCTTCCCTCCCTTCCTCCCTTCCTTCCCTCCCTCCCTCCCTTCCTCCCTTCCTTCCCTCCCTCCCTTCCCTCCCTCCCTTCTTTCCTCCCTTCTTTCCTTCCTTCCTTCCTCCCTCCCTCCTTTCCTTCCTTCCTTCCTTCCTCCCTCCCTCATTTCCTTCCTTCCTTCCCTTACCTCATTCCACAAATATTTACTGAGCATTTATTTTTGTATATTGCCCAATGCCACCCCTACCACCATCAATATAGTTTGTTTGTTTGTTTATTTTTTAATTTATTCTTTAGATTGAGTCTCCCTCCATCACCCAGCAGGGAGTGCAGTGGTGTGATCTTGGCTCACTGCAGCCTCCATCTCTGGGGTTCAAGTGATTCTCCTGCCTCAGTCTCCCGAGTAGCTGGGATTAGAGGCGCCTACCACCAAGCCTGGCTAATTTTTTAATTTTTAGTAGAGACGGGGTTTCACCATGTTAGCCAGGCTGGTCTTGAACTCCTGACCTCAAGCTATCTGGCCACATCAGCCTCCCAAAGTGCTGGGATTACAGGCATGAGCCACAGCACCCAGCCCACCATCAATGGAGTTTAAATCTGTTTATGTTTTCAACTCCATCTTCATTTTAAGTCCCAAAGTGAGGAAGTGATACACAGTGTGGAACAGAGCCAGCACAAACACCCGGAACTCTCAGCTACTGAGACAGTGCCTTGTAGGGACCAAGGGAAAACTTCCTCCTAACCTCTGAAGGTCTGCTTAAAAATAAACTGACAAAAGGCAGATTAATAGGAGAAATGGCATTAGAATGTATTAGCATGCCTAGGGGAGAACCAAAGAGTGATAACTCCACCCCATGATAGGATACAGAAGCTTGTACATGTTGAGGTTACTGAAAGAATAGGGGCTTGAAGTACGGTCAGAAACAGGTTACGGCAGTAAATCAGGTTATAGCGTCAAGACAGGCTATGGAAGGGAGAGAAGAGAAGGCCTTACAAAGGGGTCTTGTTTGATAGACGAAATCTCACAGGTAGCAGCCCTCAAGAGAATAGATGGTAAATGTTTGTTGCTGTAGTTATTGTTGTTGTTGTTCTTTTTTGGACCTCTAAAGGTGTGAGACTCTCAGTTAATCTTTCTTAGATCTGGACAAGGGAGGGCCTCAGAGACAGGCCGGCTGTATCAATGCAGATTTTCTCTACAAATTCACATCTCCCCCACAAAAGACAGCTTTGTAGAACTATTTCTGTCTGCAGGCCCTCTGAACAGCCATCTCAAAATGTCAAAGGCGTATATTTTTGGGTGAATTTTTTGGTCTCCTTCAACCTGCGCCATTCTGTCCAGCATTTCAGAAAGCCCTATATTGAGTTTGAAACTGGTTGTACTAAGAAATAAGCCGATGATTCAAAATGCTTATGATTGCCCTGAAACTCAGTCATTAGAGTCAAATAAGTAACAGCCAATTAATCATTTTCTTGGCAGTAGCTGTTTTGCTAAAGGAGTGAGGAGATGTGGTTGTAATACTTGATCTTTCCTTTTATTAAAAGGTAAGGGCAATAGTGCAAGTGACAGTTCTTTGGGATCTGAATTTTTGGTCACTTCTTTTAAATTTATTTCTATACCTTTTATTAGAAAATACTGTAATAGGCATCTCACAAATCATTGAAAAACTTTCTGATTCTGGTGTATTTCTGTGTTTTAAAAGAAAATAAATTTCAGAAGAACGAAATGGAATCTCTTTCTTTGGACAACAGCACTGGTCACTGATAATTATGTTCCTTGTGTTGAACATATGTTCCACAGGGGAAACCTGTGGTGTGCTCAGTCAAGGGGAAGCATTTGGTGCAAGGCTTGGTGCATGGAGTCTAAAGGAAACCAGTCCCAATCCTATGTGACTTGGCAACTTGTGTTTGAGCTGAACAAGCTTTAACATCTAAGGGCGGTTCTTGTTTGGGGATGTAGGTGTTTCTTTTTCTTTTTCTCTTCTTCTCTTTTAAAGTGACATCGCTCAATGTGGCAGCATCTGTTCTGCTGTTCCTTCCAGTTTGAAGTTGAGGACTGGGAAGTGTGAGCCCCAGTGGAGTAGGCCAAGCCTCAGTGAAGGGCTCTGATGCTAGAGATGGGAACGGGAGCAAAAGTAGGACACTCGGAAAAAGCTCAGACATACGATGTGAACAACAAGGTGGGAACTGGGAGAATGCTTGGGAGACAGGTTTCCTAAGCTTATCTCAGATTTCTATATTGATCATAGTATGGAAAACTAATTCCAAATCCCATTTTTTGGGGAGGTTTGACACTATTAACATACTTCTCTTAGGAATTTCATGGTATTGGGCAAGTCCATTTTCTTTGTTCCCTGATGTCCTCTTTTGTAAACTGGGATTGGTGATTATATTTTCCACCTCACAGTCCCAGGTATTTTTGTTGCTCCTCTCAGTGACCAATTTGTCCACAGTGAATGATTTAGACAAAATTATCTCAATTTGGTGGTATGCACTTATTACTTAGAAATAATACTACAGTTTAATGTTTAGTACATGGAATCAAAAACAGTATAAATTGATCACTTAAAGCATCAGCTTCCTTTCTTTTCACACAGTCTCTTTCTGTAGTGCCAAGCCTAGCATTAATTCCCATTGATATTGGTATAATTATATGATTTTTTATTCTATGAGTTGCTTCTTATTTAGGTTGTATGAGTGTCAAGTTTGGGCCATACCTTTTGTTTCATACCTTACTCTCATCAGCACCTTTCACCCGGAAAAGAAATGCAGTCAAGTGAGACGGGCTCTACCACAAATGAGCTATTTTATATATGGCATATGAAACTAATAGCTCGAGTGTATTTGAAGCTTCTTGCGATAACTAACTACATGGCCAATCAAAACAAAGGTGCAGAAAACAGTATTATTATCCTCTGTGTGCTCTGACCCTTAGAAAGTAGATAGTTATTGCCAAACCACCCTTCCAGGTAAAGAGGATGCTCCTAAAATTTCCCCAGGATGAAACTGCATTGCTTCTAGAGAAGAAAGACTACAAGTGTCTGGTAATTTTTTTAGGCCTTTGGGATGGAACTGGGCCAGCGGGTTGTAGTATTGTGAGAGGTAACGGTAAATATGAAATGAGAAAGAATGTATGGGCATAGAGCAGGTATTCAGAATACATACATGAGTTTCTGGGGTTGAGGATGGGGAGAAAATTTAGATTCCCTAGGATGGAGCATGTAAGAATCTCCAGGAGGTCATGAGAAGGAAGAGAGCAAAGCAGTGCTGTGGACTATTCATTTGCTTTATGGTGAAACTTAATGCATATTTATAAAACACTAAAGGTGGGGATTACATTTTTTAGGTATAAAAAGAGGGAGCAGTAGTTGGGAAATGCTGGAGTGAACACTCCTCCAGTTTCTGCCTGCACCCTGTCTACTAGGCTTCAGCATGAGGCCAAGAGGGTAGGCAAGGAAGCCAACCTCAGACAGCAAAAACTAGCTTCCCGCCTTTCTTCCAGGACTTTGTTTCTCCTATTTTAGTGTGCATCAGAATCATACAGAGGGCTTTCTAAAGACATAGGTGCAGATCTTCATCCCCCTAGAACTCATGATGGGGTTGGTCTTGGATGGGGCCTGAGGATTTGCGTTTCTAACAAGCCCTCAGAAGACACCAATGGTGGATCACCGACTTGAGATACAGGTTTTGTAATATTGCTTCTTCTGCCCTTTCTCTATGCCCAAAGAGGTAGATATGGAGTGGGTTTAGAAGCTTCTCTGCTAATCAGCTTAATGAACTTAACCCCAAGTAGACCCAGACCTCAGACCCCCAGACTGTCACTTACTTACAAACATCTGAATTGTAGCTGAAACTCTGAAATTATTATAGATATGACAACTGAGGCTTATATAAATGAATTATTCAAGTTCACACTAGGTGGCAGAGATGGGATTTAAACCCACATCTCTTGACACCAGATCTAGACTCTTTTTAAAAAACCACTCATACTTAGGAGTTCTGGGCTGAATGATTTCTTATGACCAAGATTATAATTAAAATAGAAATTTACACCATAACTCCACTCTGGTGTAAACAGCAGGAAGTAAAATTAAGCTAGGGAAAGCTTATGACCCTTATTGTCAGTTAGAACATTGACAAATTTATTTCAGAGGCACTAAACCCAAGCCCGAACAGACTCATCTCTTCTGCTTGTCTTTATTTTACCTGCGCCATCTGGCTGCATTCTGCCTTACCAAGGACCTCTGGATATTTTGAGTTGTTTTTCTTTATAACAAAAATAAAATATAACAGCAGATTTCATTATTGAGAATAGTTATTTGTAAAAATCACTGAAATCAGTCACATACAGGTTTACATTTTTATAACCATCAGTCTATTTGGGATATTAGTATACAGTTTTGTTCTCATACATCTGACTTCTTATAAATTTAGCCATTTATTCAAGAAACCTTTACAGAGCACCTTCTGTTTTGCTAGGAACTTGTGCTCCTTCTTGGATGATGATGTGTTGATGACCAGGTGATGATGTGATGACCTCAGAGTCTTTTGAGGAGCCAGATTATATTGTAATTTAAGTTCTCCAACAAAAATATAGCCGTGAAGCATTGGGGAAGAGAAGGAAGAGATTAAATAGCCCTGAAGGGGATTTGGCAAATTTCCACAGACTTGGAAGCTTTTAACTTGGAACTTTTAGTACTCCATCAGTATTCCATCAGCAACCTGAAGATTGAAAATGGGTATTGCAGAAAGACTACCATCCACATGAAGCCAAAAACGCAAAAAAAAACTATGTGGCATGTTTAGGAAATATCCAAAAAGAAAAATGAGATGGAAGGAGAAATATTAGCTGGGGAGCATTGCAAGCTATGTTAGGGAAGTTGGAATTAATCCTAAGAGCAATAAGAAAACACTACATTGTTTTCAGCAGAGGGGCGACACCATCGGATTTTCATTTTTAGAAAAATTTCTTTCTCATTCACTTACTACCACATCTCTTTCCTTTTTTTATTGCGAAGGAAAGGCAATTGATTTATTTCTTAAACAGTGACTCTGGTAACAATGCGAAGAACAGATGTTGGTAAAGTATCAAGGGGTAATTAAAGGTGGGAAAACTACATAAGGAACTTTTAACAGGTAAGAAATTGATTCCATGAATATCAAGTGCCTACTATGTACTGGATACTTTTCTATTATTCTAGAAGCTAGGAGTATGTTAGCTTATCAATACTCCTACCCCTCTTGGAACTTACACTCTGGTGTGAGAAGATAGAATATAAATCAGTAAGTAAAATATACATTATATATAATGCATTTATGTATACATAATATCTGGTGATGACATGCTATATATTTCATATATATATAATATACATATTTTACATATGTATATCTATCGATAGCTAGAAGACAGAGATAGAAACAATGTCAGATAATCTTATAACTGGTGGAGGCAGGCTGCAAACACAAGATTGTGACTTTGGGCTCAGCTTTCTATTAGGTTGGAGCAAAAGTAATTGCAGAAAACTAATTGCAGTAATTGCAAAAGTCAATCACAATCACTTTTGCACCAACTTAATACTTACCGCCCATCTTTGTAACCCTTGCCATGCCTAGCACAGTGCTAGTCACCAGGTGGCACTAGTCCCCCCAAATCTGATGAAGCAGCTACTCCTGGGGGAGGACAAATCTGACCCTATATCTAGCGCCGTGAATTCCAGTTTCGCTTTTCCTTCTCTGAATTTCAAAACTGCAAAAGCCTCTCATCATTAGCAGATATCTTGAAAACCTCATTTACAACATGTTCTCCAGTAACAGCAGCAATTACTCTTCATCATTATTTATACTAATTTGATGCTTCATTGAGATTATTTTTATGCTTGTCCTTCCTAATTTTTTCTTTCTTTTTTTTTTTTTTTTGTAAACTGTAAATGAGAATCAATGTAAGGAATTGATGTCAAGTTTTAGGTAGCTGTTAACATGACTAGGGTTATCTAACCTTACTATGTTGATTGTAGTTTCTTTTCTGTATCTTCCAGCAAACGCTCAAATTGATTTTAAAATGCTGCTATTGACCTAAAGATTCTTAACAACAGGAGGTTTAAATGTTTTCATTGTTATGTTTCCTGCCTATAATAGCAATTACTATTCAGAGTCTGCAGCAGGGGATTGAATTTCATTGTAGGTTTCAGTACAGAAGCAAGGGCTAAGTGTCTCCTGGAGATACAGAATGAGAAGAGGAGCCACCTGGCATTCAGTCCCACCTTCACCCCTAGAATAAATCTGCTCAGTAACACTTCTGCCAGAAAGTCATCCAGTTTCTACTTGAATGATATCTGGGAGTTGGTGACCCAAAAATGAGCAAGAGATGTTGGGGTGAAGGTTCAAAACACCTGAGTGTAAGCTCTTGCTCTGTCATCAGTTTTGTGGCTTTCAGTAGAATGCCTCATCTGTTGAAGCATCAGTCTCTCCATCTGCAAAATCAGAATACTAGTCTCCATTTCAGAAAAATTATCTATCTCAAAAATAATGCGTGAAAAGAATCAGAATTCAATACATAATTTAAAATTATGCGTATGATTGTATCCTTGGGTGTGTGTGTATGGTATGTGGAGGTACTTTGCTGACTTACACCTGTGGAAGGAGAGGGAAGGAAGGAGACTTGGAAAATAAAGTATCTTAGACTGCACTGTAATTCCAGAAAAGTTCAGCCAGGGCAAATCAAAGTCATTCACTGGAGGAATACTGCTTCCCATAAGAATGGGAGTGTCTTAGTTTCTCCAGTATACTCTGTAATTGGCCTGTAGCAACTTGCACAGAACATGACCTCAACAGGGATACACTGGCGTATCCAAAGGGGTAGGATCTGGGGCCATCAGTCCATCATATGCCCCAGAGCAGGTGATGTGACTGTCTCGTTTTCATGCTGCCCCAGACACTTAGTCCATAATAGGGGATTAGGAATGTTTTCCTGGAAGAGAGATGGTATTGTGGTATCTGATCTAAGACTTAAAATTGGATAGAGATATGGACAGATGAAAACTGATGGGGCAAGGTATTCCAGGAACAAAAATTTTATAGCTTGAGTTAAATCATAGAGGAGGGCAGGAGCTGGTTGTGGAGGCAATTATTATCATTTTGATATTGGTAAAGCATAAAATATAAATAAAGAAGGAAGTAGTGAAAGATGAGGCTGGTGAGGTTAGGCAGAGGCCAAATAAAGAATGGATTTATGTTGTAATGTAATTATGCAGTAGGTAATGGGGAGCCATTGAAAGGATTTAATCAAGAAATGTCATAATTATATATAAATTTTACTAAATCACTATGGTAGCTGCTGAGGAGAATAGACAAGAATGGAGAAATCTAGATTCATTTGAAAACTGTTTTAGTAAGATAAGGGCCTGCATTAGAACAACTGTCACAGGAATGAAGCAGAGGAAAGGCTACATGGTATATTTAGGATGTAAAATAAGATATGATTGTGGGATATGAAAGAACTGGAAATGTTCAACGATGACTTGCAGTGGTCTGCCTTAATCATCTGGGTGAATAATGGTACTATTAGCCAAAATTAAAATAGGAATAAAGGAGAGCTATCAAAGAGTGTATACAATGTGAGATCAGTTGATTGAATACAGAAATTTTGGTAGCACCGATTTTCTTAGGCAGAGAGCAGAGAAAGACCTCACAGAGAACAAAAAAGACACCACTAAAAAGACATGAAGAGACTGCAGACAAAGTAGAATTGCAGGATGCATAGAAGCAATCAGGTTTCAAGAAGAAGGGAGTTCATTAACAGCCTGACCCAATGCTATGTTGGAGCTATTGCTACTGGCTTGTTAGAGCTGCTTCTTAAATTTTTAGAATTTTGCAAGTCAGTTGTTAAGGGAAGCTATGATTAATAATCCAACGATATAAACTTATAATAAAATTAATCATTTAAAAAGAGGTAATAAATACTCAAAACTCATCACTTCTGAATTATTTTCATACATTTTATTACTATGTATGATCTCAAGGTCATTTATGCCTCTTATATCTGATGGTGGAAATATTATATAATAGTGTCCACATCTCTTCCCAATTCTGTGTTTCATAACATCATATTGGTGGCTTGAAATCAACTGTGGTGGGAGTATTTATACCATGAGTATTGGTAAATGCTTTTTTTCTTGGAGAGTCATCTATTAATAGGTTTCTGGTTGTGGGCAACCTAGCAAGCACAGTTTCCGTTTAGATGCAGAGGTGCAAAGTTAGTTCATTAGATGCAATTGATGCTTTGAGGCATTGAGCTTTATTCTCTCAGAAATTGATTGAGTTCAGCTACAGGAGACTTGAGTTTGTTTTTAGGCTCAAGACAGTGAATCAATAGGAAAGAAGAGGCTAAAACTACCCCATATCTTGAGATAACTGAAATATTGTGGTTCTCCCATGGTTAAAGGTTTAAGAGGGGGCCCAGGTGAATAGGCTATCCTTGAGCAGAAAAAGAATCACTTTCTCTGTGGGCTGGAAGACATATCACCCAGTATAGATGTAGATAGTGTGGTAGGAGTAAGGAATTAGTAGAGAATTGAGGTAAATGGGATGTGAGGTCATCGGGTATCCCTGATAATATAGGAGGTTCAGTCATGTTCTGAGAGTAGATTCAATTGGATTTAATGATAGCAGCTGCTGATAAGCACAAGGAAAAGGACCAATGGACATTGCCAAACAGCCAGCTGAGATTATCACCTTAAGTGTGCATTAGTGCCAGTCCAAACACCTGGACTCAGCTGCTGAGGTGAAGGCATGGAGTAAACAACACATGCTAGGCTTGGGGTTTTATGAGTGGGGAGTGGCAGAATAACAGGAATGAGAGAGTGTTGAAAATGCTGGAGGGAGGAGAGTTTAGATGATCAACTACAGGACTCAGACTTGGCAAGGGAGAAAGGAAGGCCCAGAGGAGATTAAAAGTCCAGCAGAGAGGAACAAAGATTTGCCAGGAGATCCTGGAAACTCTGGTTGAGCAAGGACAGTTACCTGGTTTGCAGACTCCCAGGAGGAGCTGGTTGTTCAGAGCAGTCAGAGGTCTAGTTAGGATAAAGGCTCCTCTTATTTCTGTAGAGAGCACTTCAGGACCCTATTTCAGTTTGGGGCCAGTGAGACAGATTGGATTACATAGAGGCAGTAGGAGATCTAGGAGATCTAGTGAGAGTCAGGGGGAAAAAGACTCTCCTGGGCAGATTGTCATGAAGCTGGGTTTCTAATAGATCAGATATTGGGCCAGGAATTAAATGGAGCATTTGCAATGAATAAGTGGTATTTTTAGTTTAAACTTTGTGACCTATGACCAAAAGCAATAATTTTTGACCTGTAGATATAGTGTTTAAATGCCACATTGCAAAATTGAGTAGGTGAAAATATAGACACACACACATAAACACACACATTTTTCCCCAATTACTTGGCGACTCGGCATCCATTCAGAATCTTGGACTACAGTTGTCTTCTGTAAGTTTCTTTGACTGGGATGTGCTTTCCTGGACCTGGAATAAGGAATCAGGAGAAACATCAGCAACCTCTTTTGAAACTGGTTGTTCCGTTACTATAAAACCCAGCTAGTAGCATAGACAACTCAGATCTGTATGCCTGGCCTGAATGATTAATTAGAGTGTAAATATATCATCTTTTTTTCTGTAGGACTGTTTCCCCTCTGAAGATAAGGGATTGGGATGACATGACTGTCACAGCCAGGGATCCTGTGTGTAGACCCCAATAGCAGGCAACATAGCTGAACCTCAGATCTCAAACCTTTGTGTGTAGGGGTGTGTGTGTGTGTGTGTGTGTGTGTGGGGCCACATTGTCTCTCACCTCTGCCATTCTTTGTCTCTCCTTCTTTCGTACCTTCTCTATGCAGACTGGTTTCACCACCTAGTCATCAGTGACAGAAAATGTCTACCACCTCTGGATTTGCCCTGGCCTTATCGCTCCAGTTCCCGAATCTTTTGTTTACATTTTTGTCTTTTAATTCCAGTGCTGAGAAGGGAGAAATTCTAATTGGCTTAGCTTGAATCAGGTACCCACAAATCTGTGGCTTGGTGGCGAAAAAATCACTGGACATAAACATGTCAGAAATGAACAAAGGAGGCCCTTCCCAAGAAGGAGACATGGGCCATGCATGCTTCTTAAATAGCTCATAAAATGCCTTTAATGCTACTTTATTTTCGAAATGTGTCTCATTCTTTGCCTCTTTAAGCTTCTCCGTAGGTTTATGCTAAGTTTCTATTTCATTTGTAGGTACTTCCAGATGTGTTATTTTATAGAGCTCTTCATTATGTTGCCTTTCCCTGTCACGAGCTTCTGTCTGAATAGCACGTTCTTTTCTTTGTTAATGTCCTGTATTTAGCACAGGCTTAGCCTGGCACACCGTTTGTGTCATGGGAATGTTGATGGGTGGTTTCGTGACTCCCTCCTTTCCACACAGGTCTCTAGAGAGCACTGGGCCCAACATAGATGCTCACTGCCACAAACTCCTTGATTTTAAAATACTCAGCTGGATAGCTGTATTCACTACCACCACAACTACAGACACATGTAAATTATATGTGAAGATGGGACATGTATCAAGAAATAACCAAAAACAACAGAACATAAGTTCAGAGCAAGCTGATGAGAAAGCCACAGAGAAAAAGCACATGAGAGAGTTAGAGGCTTTGAATTCTATTCCAACTTTTACCTCTGATCTTACAGCAACTCTTTCTTTACCTTTTTCTTTTATCCCTGAAGACTGGCCACACACCAAGAGTGTAAACACGTATATTATAAAAGGAATCAGAGAGTGATCTGAAGTACAGTAGGAGAAGGATGCCTAAACCAGCTTCGGGTGAATAGGGGTGTCAGGAAAAGTAACCCAGAGGAAGGGCCAGCAATCTCTATTAACTGTAACATATGAAATGAGCTGTAGCTGCTGAAACTTGAGACAGAAATCACAGACGCTGGGCATATTATTTTAGACATGTTTTCCCTGTGCCTGATTTTATAGCACATGGAATCACCCTCTCCCCGTCTTCCAACCTCCCCTGCTCATCCATAGATCTCCCTCACCCACCACTGGCTGTTTACATCAGATTCTGCTAGACGAAGAGGGAGCAATCTCCCAATTACTCAGACTTCCCCTGGGCAATTCCAATGCAAGTTCAAGCTTGCTTCTTGCTCTTTCCTTGATAAGTTCTGACAGCATGTCTGTTCTGTCTTCCCTTCAATAGCCATCAAATATTGATGGGTGGAGCAGGTGTGCTTCCAGGGGTGCAGAAAAAATGATGGTCTGAGCTCTAAGTCCCTTTTAGGAGGATAATTCCACTATTATCTGGATGGAAACTTGGAGCCATCTCTCTCATGTCATATTAGTGTTCTGGTGTGACAGAGTGATGCACACATACTGGTTCTTGAAAGACCCCCTGACAAACCAAGCTGGAGCCAAAAACAGTACCAACATCTTTCTTGAAGGTCTCTGCAATGCTTCTGCTGAAACAGGAGTGGAAATGCTTCCTGTACTGGTTATTAGCCAGGGCAAAGATTGCCATCGAAGGCACTGCTTAGAAATGTGTGAGGCACTTTGAGGTGTCTTGAGGAGAAAAAGAAATTGCTACTGGTACTTAGTGCCAGGAAGCCAGGAGTGTATATAGCACAGTTGCTTGCAGTGAAGAAGTGCACTGCAGGAAATCACCAATGTGTCTTCGATCAGGACTGATCTTCTGGGGAGTGCCCGGCAATGCCCAAGGTCCTGTCTCCTTCATGGCAGGTGTTTTTTTCTTCACCCCATGCTAAATAGGTCACCAAACCCATTTTGAATCTGTCATCTAAATCAGTGGTCTTCAAACCATTGAGTTCACACAGCCTACAGTAGAATTACAAAAAAATAACTGCACAACCCGTCACGCATTTTTTAGTCAGTATCTACAATTTTTCATGATAAATGTAAATGGTTGCGGGGGATGCACTTTACAGCACATTGTAAAAACTAGCATTTAAATGTAAAACTGTTACATCACTCTTCTAAATGTATTCAATGGAATCTAAATACTAGGGTGATTTTCATACCCACCATCATCCGTTTTAAAAATACATGAACAAGCTCTTTTATAACAAGAAGTCTTACTTGCTACTTTTTCTCCTTGAACTTGCATTTCCAATTCACTTCCCCTACAGAATTTTATCCTAATGTAATTTATTTGTTATGCTTGAAAGCTTTTATTGATTAACCTATCAAATGTCTCTAAAAGAAATATATATACATGTATATGAATATTAGATATTTTCCTTTTATTGGAACTTAAAACCCTAAGTGTTAATTTTTTTCTTCTAGATGCAATTATTACTATATTTATTATGTATACATTAATCAAAACCACATACCTATATTTTTAACTCTAATAAATATTGAAATATAAAAGCAAATAATTAAATATAAAAGCAAATAATTAAATAGAAAAGTAAATAATTACATAAAAAGCAAAATTTTACTGGAAATGTATCTCAATCAGAGAAATGACTTTTTAAATTAGTTTATATATTCATGGATGACTATTACCTATGGATAGAATGAAACAAGATTCAATATCAATTCTATCCTTATTTTTCTATGTGCTTTCTAAATGTAAACACTAAACAATTTTTTCACATATATAAGTGGATAAGAATGGATAGAGTTTGTCACAGAAAATTTCTTCAATTTTTTTATCTTTTTCTGAATAATATCCCAAAGATCATAGTGTGATAGTGTGATCTTTCATCAAAAAATATTGTTAGTGATTCATCAGTTGACAGTTTTATTAAGTCCTTCTTCAATGTCTTTGAAAACAAAGAATAGACAACCACATTGCCAAAGGATTTATTACCCAGACTCTGGCCCTTCAATTTCGCATCTATTCAGTAATCTTTTGAGTTGTCCTTGTTTGGAGCCCATGAGGTTTTTTTCCTGCTGGAGCAATGCACCTTATGCAAGCTAGGGTGGGTAAGATGTCCTTATTTCTTTGGTAGAAAAGTATGTTTTCTCAAGGAAGATTAGAAAAAGGAAACTTATTTCATGTTTCCCTCAACCGTAATAGCTGCTCTAAGCAGCTGAGGTTTAGGAAAGATCTACATGTAAGTTGTGGCAAAAATATCTGCATTACCTTAGTGCCTCTTGAAGATGCATTTGGCTGCCTAAGTGTATATATATATATATTAACTTTAGGTCCACAATTCCAAATAAATGTAAAATAATCTACTCTCCCTTTATTATTATTATTATTATTATTATTGTTATTATTATTATTTTTGAGACAGAGTCTCACTCTGTCACCCAGGCTTGCAATCTCAGCTCATTGCAACCTCCGCCCCTAGGGTTCAACCGATTCTCCTGCCTCAGCCTCTAGAGTAGCTGGGATTACAGGCGCTCGCCACCACGCCCGGCTAATTTTTTTTTTTTGTATTTTTAGTAGAGACGTGGTTTTGCCATGTTGGCCAGGCTGGTCTCAAACTCCTGACCTCAGGTGATACACCCGCCTCGGCCTCCCAAGGTACTAGGATTACAGGCATGAGTCACTGCGCCCTGCCTCTCCCTTCATTTTTATATCATTTCCTCTGTCTAGGTGTCTGTCATCTCTCATCTAGCCCAGGAATTTTTAAAATACATTGTGAGAAATATGTGAGCCACATGTGTAATTTTAAATTTTCTCATAGCCACATTAAAAAAGTAAGAAACAAGAAAAAATAAGTGCTATTAATTGTATATAACATACTTAATGCACAATATACAAAATATCTTTCTTACATATCTAAAACTTAATAGTAATATATTTTATATTCCTTTGTATTTAAGTGTTTGAAATCCAGTGTGTCTTTTACACTTAACAGCATATAGTAATTCAGGCTACCCACATTTTAAGTGCTTGGTAGACACCCGTGGTTCCACTTATTGGCTGCCATATTACGTAGTGTAGTTCTATAGTGCTGATAGACTGATGATTTAAAAACACCTAGCTTTCCCTGGCTTTCCACCATCTTTCATACAAAATCCAATCTCTTTCACATGGCCTCCATTCCTTGATGAACAGTTCCCAGTTTATATCTCTATTGTCATTGCTCACATTATTTCTATAAACTCCAGAGCACTGGGATCATTCTACAGTCTGCATAGTGATTTCCCTTTCTTATGTGGTGCTCTCTCCACAGACCGTGTCCCACCAGCCCCTCTCCACCATCACCTCTATTCCCTGAGGTTTAATGCTTAGTGCAAGGGCTGGCATAGAAACTGGACTGAATAAATAAATTACTTAGTGAACAAATTACTTAATAAATGAGTTTAATGAATAAATCTACCCTACAAATGGACTTTTTTTTAAAAGCCAGCAATTATATTTGCAGAAAGAGAGCTTATAGAGGACATTTATAGTGTCTATTTTTGCTTAAATACAAAGTAAAATGCTTCTCTGGAGGGAGAAAGAAACCCGACTGAGCGATTGTGTCCGCTTCTCCTACCAGATTAGAAACGGGCCTGTGAAATGAAAATGAGCAGAAGCAAGAGGATGGCACCTTCATCTGTATGAGTGAAGTACTTTGCCAAGCTCTTCTCTAACATCAAGCTGCTCAAAGTGGGTTACAGACTATCTTTAAAGCAAATAGTTATCCCAAAGGGATAAGTCAAAAGATGCAAGTTCCTTTGACTATGCTGATACTTGCAGAGATGAGACATCTCTCTCCCTCATGGCTTTTAAAATGAAAGACATAATCAATAGCCCCAATATTGGGAGCTGATAATGAAGGCTGTATAGAGTCTCCCCTGGTACAGCTATTGATATCAAAGACAGCTTTGTCCAAAATTAAGAGATACTATTATACTGCAGAACTAGCCAAATTAGCTTAAATTAAATGCCTATTTCACGGCTTTGAATTCCTGCAGGAACCCTAAGCTTTCAGAAAGCTGCTTTGCTGCCTGCTCTTTCTTTTCAGTCTTTTGTTGTTGTCAAGGTACCTTGAGGTCAAGGTAGTTGTTAAATTTATCTTTGTTTCCTACCTCATACCACATAGAGAAGAATAGTGGACAACATATATTTATTGCATTAAATTAAGTTTAAAGTATCTAATGATTACTTAATATACAAGGGTATAAAATACACGTGTCAGGAATAGTACCAAATATGTATTCATTTATTTAAACAGAATAGCCTTAATATGCCTTAAAGCCTAGCACAGATCTGTGCTAGGCTGTGTTCAGATGTAGGCATACAATTATAAGTTAGACCTCTTCCTTACCCCAAAAACTTTAAAATAGAAAAAAGAGAAATCTCTATCCCTAGAGAAAGAGACAGAGAAATATACAACTACCAGAGAAATTCATGTAGCATTTGTTTAATAGTAATGTGATTTTGGGATTTCAGAGCTGGTAGAATTATTGTATTCCCAACACCTAAAGAATGACCAGCATAAAGCAGGTACACAATGGATGTTGAATCAATGGAGCAATGACTTTTTTCCTCCTCTTTTCAAAATATCAACCATGGTTTCCCTTTCTTCTCAAAGATTCAAGAAAAACGGAGGGAGCAAAATAGAAAGAGAAGGAAATTAGAATATTTTCTGCTTCTTTTTCAGGTTAACAATCCTAACCCTTCCCTCTGGGCTTTTCCATTGCAAAGTTTGACTAAAGTTCATCCCATCAACATGCCAAATGCCTCCCACCAACGTTATCATTTGGGACCCTTTTGGTGCTAATAAATTTGTTGGTAAAATTGGGGAAAAAAAGTCTGATTTAGGAGAACAATTCAGTAGAATCTCTACTATCTAAGGAGCCTGAAAGTCATCACTGTATGCAGTCTACTAGTTGGGAGTTGCACAGGCATTGGGAAGATTATGACTTTGTTATTTTAAGAACTTGGCACATAGGTGATTTGCATGCAACTTTGTGTTTGCCTAGAAGACCACGTCTACATATAGCAAACAGGGAAAATATAATATTTTGCTAAATTTCCTATTAAACACCAGGGTATTTGTTTCCCATCATTATTAATTACCCTGATATTTGTGAGCAAACAAGAGTTTGGTCTCTCTCTCTTGCTTAATTGAAATTTTATTATAAGCAAGCAGAAGTATTGGAAATGACCATATACGTATTCATATACACGGCTACAGGCTTTTAAACCGTTTCTTTATTTAGTAAAGAATGACTGAATTATTTCTAAGTGGAATGCACTAATGCTGAGGAAAGGCGACCTATACTGGCTCTAGTTGAAGTCCTACTATGTGTCAGACCCTTTGTACTCATACACTATCCTATTAACTCTGTGCAATTATTAGCGCAGTTTAATTATCATCTTCATTTTGAAAGTGGGGAATCAGCGACTTAGGTTAAATAATTTATCTAAGGTCACATAGCAAGTTGTAGAACTAGGATTTAAGCCATAAAGTTGATTTGAATCAACTTTAAAATGATATTTTAAACCTAGGACCTTCCTACCTGAAAACAGTATACAAAGATAAGTATTGTTTCTTGTCCGTGTGTAGCTTCCTGTTAGTCTACATCAGCGGCTCTCAGCTGGGGACAATCGTGTCCCTCCAGAAGATATTTGGCATTGCCTTGGAACATTTTTGATTGTGACAGTCGGGAGTTGCTACTAGCATCTAATGGGTAGAGGGCAGGGATGCTGCCAATCCCCCTACAACACACAGGGCAGGCCCCTACAACACCCAATTGTCCAAAATGTGAATAGGTCCAAGGGAGAAACCTTAAATAAATGAAGATAGAAAATATCATATTAGCTTAAGTTCTTGTTGTTGCTAACAATAAAAACTGATAGTAACTACTTTAAATTTTTTTAAAAATAAGTTATTAGAAAGTATTGAAGTATGTTGTGTCATGAAAAGAGAAGTAAACAACTCAAGACTCAGGAGTCAATGGCTGTTTAGGAGTCTCAGTAACAGAAATGTCTGGGCTTCCTTCTCTGGAAAGCTGCTATGAACATGTTTCACTCAGTGCCTAGAGAATTCAATTTCTCTCTCTAGGACAAAAAGAAGTTATATTAATTCTGGTTGGGTCAGGCTACTGTGCCTGGATGCTTGGTGGAGTATGACTCACTTATTGTGCTAGAGACCATTTCTAAAAAAGGCAGCTTCCCCAAGATCAGCCTACCACCAACCTGTAGTCTCCTGACATGAGTCAGTAAGCAATATGTCACTTAAATACCTTCTTTGGATTTTGAGCACCAAATATTAAATATATAACTGTTAATATATTTTAAAACCCTTATTGTTGTTTGAGATTCCAACTAAATAACCACTTAAGGCTGTAGGGACGTTGAGGTTTGACTTGATCTTTAGATCTGAAGCCATAATTTAGCTTCTAAGGAACGTAACTATATTTAGCTTAGCTCTTTAAGAAATTGGGCTTCATTCATGGCTCTCACCTTGCCTACAAAACTGTAAATCAAATTCTTTCAACCCAGTGCCACAAGGCACTACCATTTTAATTCAGGTTTATATTCAGCAAACGTTTACAGAACATCCATTATGTTTATAATCACGATGTTAAATCCTTATCTATTATTTCACTTAGCCCACTAAGGAGAGGAAGACTCGAAGAGGGAAAGTAACTTGCCCAGTTTCACATAGTTAGCACAGAAGCCAAGACTCAAAAACACTGGTGTGCTGGTTGAAGTCTTTTACCATCTTTCTCCTGCTTCAGTGTTCGGTCCTGTGACCTGAAGTCTGGCCCTCCTGATGTCTTCAGGGGTTCCTTGCCCTCTGCTCTCTGGTAGGGTTTGGCTGATGGGAGGTGACAAGAAGAAACATGCTGGTAAGTGGAGAGAAAAGTTGGAGTATGTCTCTCCCCTTCCTTCTGGTTTTTTGGTAATAGCTTCTTTCTCTGTGACTACAGCTGCTGGTGGGTGCAACTTCCTTCATGACCCTGGCTCTCACAGGTCCTAAGGACCCCATTTTCTCCCTGTGACTTTTCAGGCATAATCGTGGGAAAGTTTTCTTGCTGTTGCTTGCCCACCTCTGAGTACCTCAATATTTTGTATTGTTCTCTTTAACTTTGACAGTTTTTATTTTTATTTTTATATTAGGTGTGGGGGTACATGTGAAGATTTGTTACGTAAATAAACACGTGTCATGGGGGTTTATTACACATATTATTACATCACCCAGGTATTAAGCTGAGTGTCCAATAGTTATCTTTTCTGCTCCTTTCCCTCCTCTCCCCCTCCCATCTCCAGTAGACCCCAGTGTCTGTTGTTTCCTTCTTTGTGTCCATAAGTTCTTATCATTTAGCTTCCGCTTAAAAGCGAGAATGTGCGGTATTTGGTTTTCTGTTACCATGTTAGTTTGCTAAGGATGATAGCCTCCAGCTTCATCCATGTTCCTGCGACAGGATCTCATTCTTTTTTTATGGCTGCATAATATTCCATGGTATATATGTACCACATTTTCTTTATACAGTCTGTCATTGATGGGCACTTAGGTCGATTCCATGTCTTTGCTATTGTGAACAGTGCTGCAATGAACATTTGAGTGTATGTGTCTTTATGATAGAATGCTTTATATTCCTCTGGGTATATACTCAATAATGGGATTGCTGGGTCAAATGGTAGTTCCGCTTTTAGCTCTCTGAGGAATAACCATACTGCTTTCCACATGGTTGCACTAATTTACACTCCCACCAACAACTCCATTTTCTCTGCAACCTTGCCAGAATTTGTTATTTTTTGATAATAGCCATTCTGACTGGTGTGAGATGGTGTGTCATTGTGGTTTTGATTTGCATTTCTCTCATGGTCAGTGCTATTGAGGTTTTTTTCATATGCTTGCTGGCCACATGTATGTCTTTTTTTGAGAAGTGTCTCTTTATGCCCTTTGCCCACTTTTTGATGCGGTTGTTTTACTCTTGTAAATTTGTTTAAGTTCCTTATAAATTCTGGATATTAGACCATTTTGAGATGGATAGTTTGCAAATATTTTCTCCCATTCTGTAGGTTGTCTGTTTACTCTGTTGACAGTTTCTTTTGCTGTGCAGAAGCTCTTAAGTTTAATTAAATCCCATTTATCAATTTTTGCTGTTGTCGTGATTGCTTTTGGTGTCTTTGTCATGAAATCTTTGCCCATTCCTAGGTCCAGGATGGTATTGCCCAGGTTGTCTTCGAGGGTTTTTATACTTTTGGGTTTTACATTTAAGTCTTTAATCCATCTTGACTTGATTTTTGTATATGGTGTTAAAAAGCAGTCTTCTGCTTATGGCTAGTCAGTATCCTAGCACCATTTACTGAATAGGGAATCTTTTCCCCATTGTTTCTTTTTGAATCTTGACTATTTTTATGAACTGTCTTCAATAAATTTTCTTGTCTTAAACCTTTCTGAGTGGAATTTTAGCTGCTGCATTCTAGTTCTTTGTCTGATATATTCTTTCTCTGAAGCTATGGGTGAGCTGTCCCCTGAATTGAGTGCCTCTCACTGGGGCTCTGAATGGGAGCCCCACTCAGATATCTCATGAAATGTTCTCAGTGCCTGAGATTGGGACCACAGCTTGGGAAATGTGATTTACTGTTGTTAGGTTCCTAGAATATCAATTCACGGATTTTATCCAATGTGTTTTAGAAATATCAGCACTCCGTAAATGACTTAAAATATATATTTTCAATAAATATATGAGGTGATGTATGTGTTAATTAGCTTGATGTAGCCATTCCACAATGAATACATATTTCAAAACAACACATTGTACATGATAAATATATACAATTTTTATTTGTCAATTTAAAATAATTAATTTAAACTATATATATTTTTTCATTAAATTCTAATTGTGTTTATCTTGGCTACTGAAAACTCAGAGCAAAATTTATTATCAATTACAGTAATTCTGTTTGTTTTTATAGTATTTTTATTACCTTCTACTATTTATTTTTATTACCATTTTAGCATGCATTGTGTGTTTGTGTGTGTGTATATATATTTAATATATTTCTTGTGCTTTTTAAGGAAAATTGGTTTATATGTTGTTTATAATAGCTTGGTGCAAGGGAAAAATACTAGAATTGGACTAGGAACTCTGTTTCAGCACAGATTTGCGGAGTTAAAGTTAAGCTTTCTTTTCATTTGTGAAATGGGATTAGTGTCTGAATTAACCCAATTTGTGTTAAATTACTTAAATTTAAAATGGAATCACAAGTGTATTTAAAAAAATTTTTTATGACATTTTGAATGATGTCAGTGAGAGGGATGCTGTTGATGATATTCTTTTTTTTTTTATTTTTTGAGAAAATGTCTTGCTTTGTCACTCAGGCTGGAGTACAGTGGCATGACCATAACTCATTGCAACCTTGATCTCCTGGGCTCAAGGGATCCTCTCACCTTAACCTCCTGAGTAGCTAGGACTACAGGTGTACCACCACCTGACTAATTTTTTTATTTGTATTTTATTTATTTATGTTTTGTAGACACAGGGTCTTGCCATATTGTGCATGCTAGTTTCAAGCCCCTGGGCTCAAGTGATCCTCCTGCCTTAGCCTCCCAAAGTGCTGGGATTACAGGCATGAGCCACGACACCAGCCTCTTGTTGGTGATATTTTTACTTCCAGTTAGTGGGCAAGCAAGGTGTGTTTTCAGAGATAGAGGTCAAAACCTTTTGCACCTTGTTGGATTAAAGGCTGTCTAAAGAAAGCAAGGTAGAAGGGGATACCTAGGAATATCTACTGGAGAAAAAACAGGTTGAAAGTAGAATATGATGGCACTAGTGTAGTCTAATATATTGTAGGTGCTTTATAAATGTGTATTGAATTAGTGAATGACTACGTGAATAATAGGCATTGAAAACTACTCAAAAAAAAAAGAGTGAAAATCCTCTGTATTGACAACTGAAAGGAGTTCCTGTTAGTTATTATCATCATGTCCAGTGATTTTTTATGCAACCAGAACTCAGAATTCAAGACCACTAATAGCCTCTGGGACAGAATAAATCTAAGGGTGCCTCTTGGGTGGCTGAGCTGTGGCTAAGGAGGGAGAGGTAAAGAGGGGATGGGTAAAGGGGGAGAGGAAAGCTCAACTATTAGCTTGGGGTTCAAGTTAAGAATTCCTTCCATACTTATGGAGATTAGCATGAGCAGTGGCTATTGGCCAGGGTATCGGGATATAAATCCAGATAGGTACGTGCGCATGTGTTTATAAGGAACCACTTGTTAATGTTTTGTTTTTTTTCATTTCTAGCCTCTAAACTTGGGAAGTGATAAATCTTACTAAGTGACAGCTTTTGGTTTTTATTTGATTTCTAATCTGAAAATGGAAATAATGATGACACTTCTAGAGTTCTTGTGAAGAATACACATTAAAATCCCTTCATTGTGTTTAGCAGTCTAAAAGCTGCCACAGTTATAGTTGTTTTTACTAAGAATATAGTTTTCCAGGCCAGAGTAGTACAAGACATAAGTTTGACCTAATGCTAAGTCCCCTGGAGTTACCCCTGACTTAATGACTTTTAATAAAAGAAAGAGGGACATGGTGATTTTAATAGGACTGAGACAGCCATGAAGCAGCTTCAGCTGGAACCTAAAAGAATAATGACGTGATGGAGACTGACACTGAGGAATTTTTGTAACATCTTAAGTTGTGAGAAGAGCAAAACTGGAAGCCATCAGAAGGAAGCTGCTGTTGGAGGGAATTTTCTACAGATATAACAGCTTCATAGAGAAGAGAAAAGAGCCAGAATAAGAAGACTGCCTGTGGAAGGGAGTTTTAAAAATTCATAAAAAAACAAGATGACTGTTCCTGTGGAGTCTACTGAGAAAAAGTAATTTAAAACATTTTGTACATTAAAATAAAACTGGTGTATTATTTGTTCTCATGCTGCTGATAAAGACATACCCAAGACTGGCCAATTTACAAAAGAAAGATAGGTTTAATGGACTTACAGTTCCAAGAGGCTGGGGAGGCCTCACAATCATGGTGGAAGGCAAGGAGGAGCAAGTTGCATCTAACATGAATGGCAGCAGGCAAAGAGAGAGCTTGTTGTGCAGGGAAACTCACATTTTTAAAACCATCACATCTCATGAGATTTATTCACTATCACAAAAAACAGCACAGGAAAGACCTGCCTCCGTGATTCAATTACTTCCCATCATGTCCCTATCACAACATGTAGGAATTCAAGATGAAATGTCAAGGGGCACGCAGCCAAACCATATCATTCCACCCTAGGCCCCTCCCAAACCTCATGTTCTCACATTTCAAAATAAATTGTGCCTTCGCAGTAGTCCCCCAAAGTCTTAACTCATTTCAGCCTTAACTCAAAAGTCCACAGTCCAAAGTTTCATCTGAGACAAGGCAAACCCCCTTCCCCCTGAGAGCCTGTAAAATAAAAAGCAAGTTAGTTACTTCCTAGATACAGTGAGGGTACAGGTATTGGGTAAATACATCCATTCCAAATGGGAGTAATTAGTTAAAATAAAGGGGCTACAGGCACTGTGCAAGTTCAAAATTCAGCAGAGCAGTCAAATCTTAAAGCTCCAAAATGACCTCTTTTGACTCCATGTCTCACATCTGGGTCATGCTGATGCAAGAGGTGGATTCCCATGGAATTGGGCAGCTTACACCCTGTGGCTTTGCAAGGTACAGCATTCCTCCTGGCTGTTTTCACAGGCTGGTGTTCAGTGTCTGCAGCTTTTCCAGGTGCACGGTGCAAGCTGTCAGTGAATCTATCACTCGGGGTCTGGAGGACAGCAGCCCTCTTATCACAGCTTCTCTAGACAGTGCCTCAGTAGGGACTTTGTGTGGTGGCTCTGACCTGACATTTCCCTTCTGCACTGCCCTAGAAGAGGTTCTCCATGAGGGCCCCGTCCCTGCGGCAAACTTCTGCCTGGGCATCCAGGTGTTCCCATACATCTTTTGAAATCTAGGCAGAGGTTCCCAAACCTCAATTATTGACCTCTGTGCACTTGCAGGCTCACCACCACATGGAAATTGCCAAGGCTTGGTGCTTATACCCCTTGAAGCCATGGCTCAAGCTCTACGTTGGCCCCTTTCAGCCATGGCTGGAGTGGCTGTGACACAGGGCACCAATTCCCTAGGTTGTACACAGCATGGGGACCCTGGGCCTAGCCAGTGAAACCATTCTTTCCTTCTAGGCCTCAGGGTCTGTGGGAGCAACTGCCATGAAGACCTCTGACACGGCCAGGAGACATTTTCCCCATTGTCTTAGGGATTAACATTCGGCTCCTCCTTACTTATGCAAATATCTGTAGCCAGCTTGAATTTCTCCTTGGAAAATGGGATTTGCTTTTCTATTGCATTGTCAGGCAGCAAATTTTTAAAACCTTTATGCTCTGTTTCCCTTTTAAAACTGAATGCCTTTAACAGCACCCAAGTCACCTCTCGAATACTTTGCTGCTTAGAAATTTCTTCCTCCAGATACTGTAAATCATCTCTCTCATCACCATCTGTGACCAGCTCAGACTGGATTTCATTGTCAATATCATTGTCTGAATTTTCGCCAAAGCCATTCAACAAGTCTTGAGGGAGTTCCAAAATTTCCCACATTTTCCTGTCTTCTTCTGAGCCCTCCAAATTTTTCCAACCTCTGCCTGTTACCCAGTTCCAAAGTCACTTTCAAATTTTTGAGTATCTTCAGTAGCACCCCACTCTACTGGTACCAATTTACTGTATTATTCCATTCTCATGCTGCTGATAAAGACATACCCAAGACTGGACAATTTACAAAAGAAAGAGATGTTTAATGCACTCATAGTTCCACATGGCTGGGGAGGCCTCACAATCACGGTGGAAGGCAAGGAGGAGCAAGTTACATCTTATATGGATGGCAGTAGCAAAGAGAGAGCTTGTGCAAGGAAACTCCCGTTTTTAAAACCATCACATCTCATGAGACTTATTCACTATCATGAGAACAGCATGGTAAAGACCTGCCCCCATGATTCAGTTACCTCCCACTGGGTCCCTCCCACAACACACGGGAATTCAAGATGAGATATGGGTGGGGACACAGTCAAACCATATCAGATGGATATAACATGGAATCTAACACACATTTTGGAATAAACTTCTGAAAAGTACTAAGACCATAAAGTCATATTGAATTTTTAGTTTGCCTCTTTGGGCTGTGGCTGCAGAACCTCAGCTATAGACATCTGTGCTTCTCCAACATGGAAAGCTTTCAAGGAGACGTTTGAGAAGCTCTGGTTTAAAGGCATAGGTTCTCTTGATTTTGGAATCAAGTATATTTACAAAGTGAATGATCTTGAACACATCATTTAATAGCTGTGAACCAACCCATTAAGTGGGAATAATAATTTCAACACGACTATTATGAGGATTAAATAAATGACTTTGACAAACTCCATGTATCTGGTCCACAATAGGGGCCAGCTTAGTTAGTTCTTTCCCCCTGATTCCCACTTGTTTATACATTGTTATAAAACCGACTGAAAACTAGTGATACCTCCCCTGAGTTTCTCAGTAGTAAATTCTTGGTTCAACTTGACTGTATTCCACAGCTCAGTAGGTGAGCAGTAGATGCAACAAAAAAATTATAAAATGCAATCTGTCTCTTTAATAAAAATGAGAAAATTACAAACATAAACTTCATTCATAAAATACAGAAATAATTAGTTCACTGCACTGTTCATAATATCCTGTTTCTCGAGTGCTCTAAACCAGGATGTTTCACTGAAACTCATGGCATTTATTGATCTAATTTATAGTTTTTTATTGTTTGCTAGAACCATAGATTATCAAGAGTAGACAATATTAGCCAAGGAAATCAGGATTCATCTAACAGAAATACAAATTCCATATATTCTTCACACATTATATTGTTTCTTTGAAGTTCAAATCAAGGTACTACAGATATTTGCAGGTTGAAATTAATAAATGCATGAAGTAAATAGATGAAATAAATACTCCCTTTTTGCTTCAAAGAGAGAATTCTAAATATCACACCAAAGCAGTGGATTGAGGGTAGTTAAATGAATGTGCTGCTTCACCTAGCAGGTTATAAAGTCAAGGAGCTCATTAATCCCCACAAGGTTACCAGTTTAAAAATGTAGGAAGGAAGAGACAGCACAGTATGCTGGAAAGCATCAGGCACACCTAGGTTTCAATCCCACCTCTACCATGTAACTATTGCTTAAGTGTACAATTGACAGTGTCCTTGTTTACGAAAAGGGGCATAATAAATACTTGCTTATAGGCTTGTTGCCAAGACAGAATGACAGAGGTCTGCAAAGTGCTGTGCACAGTGTGTACACATGGGCTATATTCCATAAACGCAGCTTTCTTTAGTTTTTAATATGTTGTAATAAAATAAGGGATTATGGGTTGTCTATATTCTTTTTCAACTTTTTTAATCCATAAGATTCTCTCATTTTTCCACTTTTTTCCAAATGAAATCCTATGCAGTTAGGATTAACTCCTCTTTCCCCACTATTTTTTTTTTTTTCTGAATGAAATCCCACACAGTTAGTCATCCTATGCAGCTTATTACATAAACACATTTTCTGCTGGACAAAATTTTATATATGTTTAGATATGTGCAGACACACTTACAAATGTATTTGTTAAAATATTTTGAATAATGAGAAGTGAGGATAAGGAAGCTGAAAATATTAGTAATATAAATGAGAAATGAGAAATAACTTTTCAAGATGGGGACTTTTTGAGCTTGCTGCAGCAGCAGAGCTGGATCAGGCTGCTCTGAAAGTTGGGTGGGAGAAGTGCTGGGCCTGTGGGTGGGGAGTCAGGAGTGGAAATTCTATTCCTTTCTGCGGAGGGCACTTAACTTATCTGAGTCTCAGTTAATCACCTGAGAAGCAGATACATTGAGATTCCCGTTTTCCTATGCTATTGTGTAAAGCAAGGTATATCTCCATTAACTGTCAAAGCCCCATATTTTTAGCATGTAAAAGATTTTCTTAAACTGCTTCTCTCTGCCTTTTTGTTCTATAGACTAGTGAAATTTCTAAATTTCTAAATGTGTCCTTTCATTAAGGATTAGATATCATGTACCAGTACCCCAGATTATTGTCAAAAATTGTATCTGCATGATTCCCTGAGTATTTTATATAATAATCTTTATTAGGAATGTCAGAGTACAGCTGTTTTATATCTTACCAGACTGTGATATACATTATACCAATTTTCACCCCTAGAAATAGTCAATTTTTGGATTTGGGGACCATCTGCTGCCCTGTCACATGTCACCTAGAGTGAGGCAGACAAAAATGATGAACTGGTAAGATTCAGGGGAAAGACCAGGGCACTTTGATCTCTCTCTCTCTCTTTCTCGTTTTCTCTCTTTCTTGCGTCTCTTTCACTCTCACTTTATTCTCTCTCCCTTAAAACTATATTTATGTAATAAAAAATGAGTTGATGTAGAATGTCACAGAACCAGATTTTTTTAAACAGAGGCTTTACATAACACATTCTCACACCCCTCAATAAAATGAGTATTGTATAAGAGAGAAAATGTTGGTAAAAAATATTAAAAAATAAGATTTAAAAAGTGGGGCTTGCAAAAACAAATTTATAGAGAAAAGGAAACAGTGTAAACCTACTTAACATTCTAAGGAAGATGATCTCACCTTGAATTTTGGACCACCTGAAACTGAAGACTTGTGGAATCAAGGCAGAGGCCTACCTGGAATCAAGGCAGAGGCCTACCTGCACTCAGTATTTATTAGTATCTTACATATGTAGTACCAGAAGTGCCATTTGAATTGCAAATTAAATGCTCTCTATATCTCTGATGATTCTTTAAACTCTATCAATGTTTTGAGCTATCTGCTTTTTTATTTTCCAAGTGGTTCATAGCAAAACTTTGTTTAAATGATTAAAGAAGAAAGTTTTCCTAGGACAAAATAGAAAAGCTAAGATTGATGGTATAATTATAACCATAACAACAACATCTGTATTAGTCCGTTCTCACATTGCTATAAAGAACTACCTGAGACTGGTTAATTTATGAAGAAAAGAGGTTTACTTGACTCACAGTCTTAGAGGCTGTACAGAAAGCATGGTTGAGGAAGCCTCAGGAAACTTACAATTATGGCTGAAGGGCAAAGTGGAGGCAAGCTCCTTCTTCACACGGCAGAGAGAGAGAGCTAAGGGTGTAGTGTCACGCGCTTTCCAGTAATCAGATCTTGTGAGCACTGTATCACAAGAACAGCAAGAGGGAAGTCTGCCCCTGTGATTCAATCATCCACAACCAGGGCCCTCTTTCAACACTGGGAATTACAATTCTACATGAGATTTGGATGAAGACACAGAACCAAACCATATCAACATTGCTGCTGATTTCGAAAATGGCAGAGTTCTTTAAGAAGGAGCATGATGGATTCTGGACTTTGGAATCATATAGATCTGAGTTTGAATCCTATTTCTAACACTTCCTAGCTGTGTGACCTTGGACAAGTTATATAACTTTAGCTTCTTTTTACATAAAATAGGAATAGAAATTGTGTTTATTTTAGAGTTATTTTAATAATTAAATATGACTATATTTATTCCTTAATACTAGACAAAATGTCAGCATTATTTGCTCTATTTTTTTATTTCATACAGATATAAATTATAGATAAGGAAACTGAGACACTGAGACATAAAGTTAATAAGGGGTGGAATCAGAATGTTATTTCTATATTTTTACTTCATCTCATTCTCATTCTTTATATATCATCACAAATTGATACACTATAATTCAGCTTCTCCAGCAACCTATGGTTCATCAATAATCACTTTTAGTGACTCACACTAGAGGACAGATTTGACTGTACTTCTTGGGAACTATTAACACATTCAAAAAGGTATTATAAATATAGTAGAAACTAGCCATAGCATTATAGCTTGGGTCCAAAACAATTAATCACATAAAATATAGGGTTGCCCTATTGTGAAGTTTTTGAGGTGACCAGAGTTAGCCAGTTGCTGTGAATGACTGACTCGTGCCTGGGTTTTTATTCTGTGGGGCACATTATTGGAAGGTTTCACTGTAGAGTTAATCGTTTGGCTAAAACGTAAAAGATAATGTTGATGTGGTGTAACTCTAAGGGGTAATGATAATAGTAACTATGGCAGGGACAGTGCTGCCTTTAACTCTGATAAAATCTGGCTTACCATGTGTCCTCATTCCTGGGACACACAGAGGAAGACTCTATTTCCCAGCTTCCCTTGCATATGGCTATGTGACATCTGGCTGATGGGATATGAGTGGGAGAGATTCAGAAAAAATTCCAGGAAGTCTTAGAAAAACTCCATGAAATTCTTCAGACCTTTATCCTTTTTGTGTTAACCTTGGAAGGCACAATAAAGATGGCTTAGTGATAGGATGGGAGCAGCTAAGGTCCCCACGTCACTACTCAGGGAATTGCCGAGGTAATTAAAGGAGGTATTAAGTTTATAAAATAGTGCCCAGAGTGTTTTCTTTTCTATCTTCAATTAATTTGAAAGTTTACATTTGTTAGGCAGGAATTAGATAAAATATTCATTCCCTTGTCATCACCATGCCACATTTCAGAAAACTGCTGCCAATTTAATGGCAATGATTCCTTGTGGCCGTGTGAGTCACTCAGAGAGACTTTTTCTAGATGAGGATAACCAAGGAAACACAAAGTATACATTATGGGTTTTGGTTTCAAGAACTATTTTTTGTTTGTTTAGTAATGAGTAAAATGACTCTTTATATTGGTATGTGTGTTAGTGGGGAAGTGTTACATGGAGTATAGATTATGTTTTTGTATTTAAAAAGTTCATATATATGACAGTTATATGTAAATATGTGATGTATAATATATGAGTGTATATACACATATACATCTACACACAAATTCATGTATAAATATAGTAACTAATGTAACCTTGAAAATACATTACATTGTGATGTGAAGAAAGAATTCAGAAAGCCTTCAGAAGAAGATTTTTTTTTTTTTACTATCTACAAGCATAAAAGCATAGCTTAGCACACTGATGAAAAGTCTTAAGAGGTATTTATGGTATCAGATGCTGTTTCAGAGAATAATTTTACTAATTTCACAACAAATAGTTCTTTGAGCATTTACTAATTACTAACAGCTTGATGCACGATTAGAGCAAGGTTTACAAAATATAAACACTCAAATACATGGGTTATCTTTTCTTATCACACTAAATTTCAATTCCCATTCAATTTTGTTAAAAAATAACAAACATATATCGAATGCCTTCAATGTGCCCGAGCATGTGCCATTAGGGAAATTCAAAAATGAATTATATAGCACTCCTGCCCAAAAGGAATTTATAAGCTGGGGGTAACACTAAGTACCATTGCTGTTCAATCTGCTTCTGTTTTCTCTCTTGTGTTTTGTGGAAAAATGTTAGCTTCCACAATGTTTCCTTGTGTGATGCCTTGTATCATGTGTCCTAGCAATTTACTGTCAATGACCTCTCCCAAACAGGCCTCCAAGCCTCCAAAAAATGGGAATCCAACTGTGTTTGACTGGCAACACCTCAGAAGGAAGGTGTTAATTCACTTTCTTAAGATTGCTAATTAAATATGGAATATTCTGCTTCATCCTCTTATTACAAAGAACCAGTTCACTGCCTGTTTTAAGAAAGGTCTTAAGCAGTTTTCATGTAGTCATTGTTGCTGCGTCTTTTAGCTTCCAGATCTGAAAAGCGAAGTTTGAAGAAGGCATGAGTGTACGTGATTTCTCTGTGTTTCGGGTTAGGCTTTGAGTCAGGGGGACCTGGTGGATTTGGGCTCATATTTTTCTTGCTGTGGCAGAGTGCAGAAGACCGACACTTCCTTTCACTTCTGTTCTTGAGTCACAAGCATGCTGCAGGATTAAAGTATATAATATATTAAAAACAATAAACAATAGCTATTAGCATTCTTAATATCATTTATTATTTATATATTACAGAAACATATCCCAATGTTTTCCCAATGTTTTCTGAACATAGTTCAGATGTTTCACATCTTCTCCCAGTGTTTTCTGAACTATGTAAAATTATATACCAGATATGAAATCCATATTGATGGATTCAAAGTATAGTTTGCTCCATAGGTAAAAAGGAAAACCTCTTAAATTATAAATGTGCTATTTTGTAGGATATTCTAACTAATGGCTCACTTCAAATCTTTGAAGTCTTTTTTCTCATAAAATTTACTTTTAATTAATGTTTTAAAAAGTACTTATATAACACATTAGTTGTCTTTTGGTTCACACTTCTGCCATTTAATGATCCTTTAAAAATAATTTGTTGGTTTTTTTCCCTTTAAGGTTTTTAAAACAGAAACATTTATAAACAGAGCTATACAGGATGCATTTACAGTAAGGCACAACATCTCAAAGTGTGGTCTGCAGACATGTGGGTGTCCCTGTGACCTTCTCAGGAGGTCCATAATATCAAGACTATTTCCATAATAGTACTGAGAAAATATTTCCCTTTTAAGCTGTGTTGACGTTTGTACTGATGGTGCAAAATCAATGGTTGGTAAAATTGTTGAACTTTTGCATTAGGGCAAAGGCACTTGAATTAGGGCAAAGGCACTAATTTCTATGAGTGTCATTGCATTTTTCAGCACCACTTTTTTAAAACCCAATTTTATTTAAGAATATCATTGATAAAGTTGTAGAAATTATCAATTTTATTAAATCTTTAAATAGAAGACACATTTTTATTATTCTGTATGATGAAATGGATATTCACATGAAGCAATTCTGCTGCATATTGAAATATGATGGTTGACTCAGTAACAAAAGCACTTGTGTGATTGAGTTATGAGCTGAACTAGCCACTTTTTCAAGGGGAGTCATTTTTACTTGAAAGAATAATTGACAAACAAAATTATGGTTATTTGGACTTGGTTGTATAGTAGAGGTTCTCTTGAAAATAAAGGAAGTGAGCCTGTTATTTCAAGGGAAACAATGACAATATTTGCTGCCAGTGATAAAATTCAAGCTACCAAGTAAAAATTAGAATTTTGGGAAACTTGTATTCACTACTCTAAGTTTGACAGCTTCCCAATACTAAAAGACTTTTCTGTTGAGATCAGTGGTGCTACTAGCAAATGTAATTTTGTGATGTTCTATTTAAAAAAATGGTGAACATTTGCAAGATCTGGATAACTCAATGAATCAATTTTTTTCTAAATGTCTAATGCATAACATAAAACCATGCATGAGTAAAAGATCTATCAAAGCGTAAAATAGACCAGTGGATTTTAATGTAACACAAAAAAATTCATTGACATGTTTTCAGATTCCACAATGCAAATATTATCTAAGAAACTCTACTTGTCAAGATTTGGTGCAGTACCAATTATCTGTAAAAACTATTAAAATATTCCTCAATTTTCCGACTACATATATTTGTGAGGCTGTATTGTCTTTGTATACTTCAATGAAAACAACATATCGAAACAGATAGAATGCAGAAGCAGATTTGAGAATTCGGTTGTCTTCTATTAAGTCTAACAATAAAAAAATGAAAATGTTAAAGGCAACTTTATTTAGTATTTTGTTTTCATTTGAAAAACATAGTTATTGCTCATAAAATTGTGTAATTTATTTTGACATTTTTATAATACGTTAATAAACACATTATTTTACAATTCTAAGCTTTAATTTCTAACATAGCAAATATCGAAAGATATAACCTACAAAAACCACAGCTTTCTGGAGGCCTCAATAATTTTTAAAAGTTTTGTAAAAGTATCCTGAGACCATAGACTTTGAGAACTGGTCTAGAAAACCTGGAAAAAAATGCAGAATTGGGTTGCAGGCTATATACAAAACAACTCTACTATCTGTTGACTGTTTCCCAGGCTGAGTTAATATGTCTCAGTGTCTTTACCAATAAAATGGGTATATTAAATATTCATAGGGCTGTTTTGCCACTTAAATGGCTTATTGTCATATAAGAAGTGTTAACAGCTGTTATTATGAACCAAGGCCAGGAATAACAAAACATAGACCCAGATTACAGTGAAGTTTATTACTATTATTGTCTGTTCAGATCGTTTAAACCATAATGATGGTTGTCTCCTGCCCTGGACATACTAATAGTACCTACTCTACATTTTCCTTATCTTTTCACTGCTCCTTTTATGTCCAAATTCAATTCAGTCTCTGGATAGAGCTTCCTCCGAGAGACTTTACCTCAATAGCCAACAGTGAATCTCTTCTCTCCTATAGATGATTTCCATGTAATAATCTTGCATTTCCACCCATTAATCAAGCAGTAAGCAGTGTGCTAGCCCCTATGGGCAAGTGTCACGTGTCACACATTGTTTGTATTCCAATACTTTTTATGGCAGTGTAGGCCCTTCATCAAATCTGTGAATTTAGCTGAAGTCACTGACAATAATGAATTATTTCAGTAGCGCTATGACTGGTTAAAAACAATCTTGATCAAAACTTGAGAGATAAAAGAGCAGCTTTGCACTCTTCCCTCATCCCCTCCCTTCCATCTACCCATTCAACAAACCTGCCAATCCATGTAACATGTATTCAGCATTAATATGGAAAACTTCATTTATTTAATTCTAAGATGTCAGTGATAATATAATGCACCATCAATTTAACCACTGCTTAGAAGAGAGGAAGAGGGAAAAACATTGAATAGATAATAAACATGATTCTTATAAAATGGAGCAACAGTAGTATACATTTATCTGCATGATTGCAAGCAATACTCTTCTTTAGTATGACCATCAACATTTTAGACTAAACCTTCTTTTTAAGCCTAGAAAGTCTTATGGATGAATCTCTTTTAGCCACCAATTAGTGTGCAAAATATCACGGTGACAACTTTCTGTTTCCGATAATGTTTGCTTGTCATCAAGTCCGCTTTGTCAAATTTTAGGCTGATATAATAATTTTGAGACAAATAAAGAAAACCTGGATTTTTTCACATTTGGATGAACTTAGCATTTTGAAATTTTCTGTAACTGTATTACATATTACGGTAAGTGAAGTAGCTCTGTTTGCAAGTTAGCCAAAGGCTTTTGACAGATAGATGTTATGTTCCTGAGTGGTAGTCCTTCATGATGAATAAATTGGTCATACTAACCTCTTCTAGGGCTGAAAATACCATTATCTATTCCCAGAAATGTGACAGTTTCTACTGACTGTAATTGCAATGCCTGCTGCATGACAGACAATCTTTGGCATACACAATAACTGTTCATTTCAGTGGACTTTTTAGCACTGTATAATCTTTCTGAAGACATTTTAAATGACAATTGGGGATCAAAATTTAAGTCAAACTTTAATTTTATATCACGTTAACAAAGTAATCCAAATCAGGTAACAGTAGTATGAACATAGGTATGAACACAGATATGAGCACATGTATGTCCACAGGCAAAGAGAAGTTATGTTGCCACACATTCTTCTGCTTAATGGCTGCATTTTTCTTTTTTACAAAAATTATAAAACATATTCCAATATCAAATACCTTAAAATGTAAAAAATATGTGTTTTTAAATCAAGGAACTATATGAGAGATATATATATATGTGAGAATACATATATGTATTCTGTGTGTGTCTATATATACACATTTACATAAACACATACACATAACATATATGCATACTATATATATGTATATCCACACATACACACAGCAAATATGTAGCCTACGTTGTCTGTATAGCTGATATTAGATGTGGCATAAACAGTGATCAGATGAGTGCGTTTGGGGTTGTGTATCATTAATGTCATTGTAGATCAAGAGTATGAAATCATTCCCTAAAAACAGCACAATCATAATAAGAGCATTCTAAGTGAGTGGGGGGTAATTAAATTGGTTTCTAAAAATATATATCTGTTGCTTTCCTGACAAAACACCTGACATAATGTTTTGGGGATAAATAGTCCTTAAGCACAAGACCTGCAGTTAGAGAAAAACAAAGAAGGTTAAAGTATCTTGAAGGACAAATTATGACAAGTTTTCAGTTCTGAAATCAGGCCACACAGAGGTGAGAAGTCCAGGAAATGTAAAGAAAAGTGAGATTTAGATAGAAAAAAATGAAGCAAGGTGTGGGGCAGATGTGCACAAGGGACTTCATAAGCCTAAACACCTAGTATGCAATTTTAAATTGTGTGCTGTCGTGCATTATAACCGTCATACTTCCCTGTTTTTGGCCCCTCACCACTTGTGAGCACTGCTTTGAGATAATTAAGGAAAAGTCATTGTGTTTCTTGTTTGAGTGACAGAAAAAAACATCGAGTGGAGAGATACGAATACCATCTTGAAGGGAGAATTGATAAAGTCAGGGATTTAAACAGAAGCATAAATATGAAATAAGAGGTGACTAAAAAAACATGAGTTTCCTGAAAATCATCGAGTCAGTGGACTGGGGAAGTTTGCATTTCCCACTGAGCTAGAGATGGAGCCTCAAGGAAGTTTAATTTTATTTTACCAGATGTATAACATACACACAGTCAAGTGAACACTTTTAAAATATACAGTTTGATGAATTTTTACACACACACTCAAACAACCATCCCCAAGGTGAATATATAAAATATTTTCAGCAACTAGAAGGTTTTCTTTTTCCATTTCCCATTCAGTAACCCATAAGGGCTATTCACTATTTTCTATCAGTAAAGGTAAGGTCCTCAAGATATTTTATATATTTTATAAGTAATTCAGATATAATGGAACAAGCTGACCCTAGAAAGATAGATGATTTGAGGACATCTTTGTTATTGCCATATGTGGTACAATATATTTAACTTTATGTATATGAAGTATTTACTCTTGGGTCATCATTTTCTCAAGCCCTTTAGCTGACAAGAGATAGATAGGCAAGTAGATAGATAGATAGATAGATAGATAGATAGATAGATGAATAGATGGAGTTATAGTTCAGCAAACTGAGGCACATATATACTATATGAGAGGTCCAACATTACTTGATTGTAAATGATGAGGCCAGGATTCAAATACAGACAATCTGATTTGAGCAAAAGAACTTAACCAATACTGTCTCCCATAAATTTTCTGGTCCAATTCTTAGAGTTTTCAGATTTTAATTACAGGCAGCATGGTCTGCTAAGACTATTGAACTAGTCTTAGTAGTAGTCTACAGAGCAGGATTTAGCCTTGGCCCTGATATTCACTGAGCAGCACCCCAGACCAGTGATAAGCTTTACATATATATCTTTTGCTAGAGAAGTCAGGATTTTGTTTTGGGTCTCTCTGACAGAAGGAGCTCATGAGCTTTCTACAGAGGAAGTGAGGCTATAGTATGAGGTGAGAGAATTTTCATACAGGATAGGATTTTCTCTCACTACGATCTCTCTAAAACATTCCGCAATTGGTTCACTTACTTGGAGTTTTGCTATACAAGACCTGCAGAAAAATAAAATTAAAAAATTCATCTGATTTAAAAAGTATTCATGACTTCATCCTGGCTTTAGAGTTCAGAACATTTAAAAAGGGAGGATAACAAGCATTGCTTACCTTAATGTCATTTTTTACACACTTGAAGACTAAATGATATAATAATGGGGCAGAGTAGACTTTTGTGTCTGAAAGTGATATTATTATGTAAAGTCATGTTCAACGAATTGCATAGTTTCCACCCAAGGCTGTGTTGCCTTCCACACTGGGCTCACATCCTCTGGGTCATCTCAGTTTGACAATCCAATCTGAGTAAACATTGCCACCATTCAGTCTAACCTTGTGTGTCTTTCATCCCAAGCTAACCTTTTCAGGGCTATGAATCTCCTTGCTGCTTCTAAAGACAGCCCATAAATTCTTATTTTAACCCATCTCTTATTATTTCATCGAAACAAACACTTTTACAGGATATAAACTTGGGAAGTGCCAAAGCTAACAATTTCTTACAAAATTTTCCTCCACCATGGTTGTTTGGCTTAGCCCCTGCTCTCACTAATACCCAAAATCTAATAAGATAGACTTTGAGCCTTCTTTAGTTCAGGAGGATTCTGTCCTCCAGGAAGGTGGTTCTCCCTGTTTCAGGTTTAAAATAAAATAGCCGAAGAGAAATGGATGGGAACATGAACCTAGTGATCAATTTCCTCCAAATGAGAGTTTCTACATCTGAAAATTTCCAGGCCTTGTTTTCACATAACAGAACTTGATGTGAGTAATCATCAGAACGTGGATAGTCAGAGCAGTGAACCGGGAATCAGGAGGCCAGTGATAGGGCCCACGCTCTGCCCTCTAAAAATTGTCACTGACTTACTGTACATATTGTGCTGGGTTCCACAGGGTATCTGTCCTATATTTAGAGAGGAAAAGTGAGGTACAGAAAGAGTACTCAAAGTACCTGTTCAAGGTCATGCTGCTGGTCATATTCTTACTTTGTTTCAAACACCTGTCTGTTTAACACTAAAAGGCTGTGTTGCTTTCCCACACCCTTCCACACAGCCTTTGGTACACTACACAGTTTCCCTAATTCAGTAAAATATTTAGGAGTACCTACTATGCAACAGGTACTATGCTAAATGCTAGGTATAAAATAATGATCAAAATAGATTTCAAGCCAAGGGAGAAGATAGAGATTAGCCAATTAATCACCCACACAATTCACTCACCAGTAGCAAGAGGAGGTCCATTCAGCTATGGAAACATGAATAGAGAAAAATTAATCAGATTGGTCAGGGAAGACTTTCTTGAAGAAATAAAAACTAGACTGAGAGCTGCAGGATCAAAAGGCAAGGGGAAAGATTGACATAAAAACATTCCAGGGAAACAGAACAGCATGTACAAAGGCACTGTGGTAGGAGAGATTACTGATGTTAGAAGACGCCAAAGGCACAGTGTGAGGCAATAGAGATCAAGGATGAACAGGGGTTCAAAATAAGGTTTAAGAGGTTGATAGGGTCAGTTCAGACGGGACTTCATAGGTCCCTGTAAGAATTTCAGCCTCTACCCAAAGTGCTATAGGAAATCATCTAAATGTTTAATTACATTTAATGTAATCAACTATGTGTTTCAAAAATTTACATAGCCAAGAAAATCTTGAAATAAAACAAGACTGAAGGACTCATGCTACTAGCTATGAGGGCCTGCTATAAAGCTAGAGTAATTAAAAGAGTACAACATTATTGTACGGATAAACAAACAGATCAATAGAAGGATTAGAGAGCCTGGAATCAAATCTACACATTTAAAATCACTAGGTTTATGACATAAGTAGCATTTCAGTGCAGTGGAATAAGCACAGTGTTTTCTGTAAGTGGTATTGTGTATTTTGTATACATATGGAAAAACAAATTTCAACCCTCTACCTCTAACCACATAAAAATCAACTCTAAATGGATAATAGATCTAAATATGAATAATAAACCAATAACCACTCACAAAAAAGCAGCTAGAAAAAAAATGGGAAAAAAATCTTCATAACTTTGGAATAGTCAAAACATTTTTGAACAGAACATTAAAAAAAAAAAACTAACCATAAGGAAAACATTGACAAATTGAATTCTATTTGGATTAAGAACTTTAGCTCTTAAGAGACTAGAAAGGCATGCCACAGAGTATAAGGAACATTTGCAATATGTAGATCTGAAAAAAGAACTTGTATCTAAAACATATAAACTATTCTTATAAATCGTTCAGAAAAATACCAACAAACTTAAAGAAAAGGACAGGAGTAGTCACTTTACAAAAGATATCATTATTAGTTCACTAGAGAAATGCAAAGAACAGCAATGCAATACCATTTGTAATGATTAAATGGCTACAATGAATAAGGCAAATAGTATCAAGTGTTGACAAAGATATAGAACCACAGACAAAAATATAGAACCACTGTTATACAGTGCTGGTGGGAGTGTAATTTTCTACAACTTCTTTACAAACTGTGTAAAATTGTCACAATCATTTGGTAATTTGCATTAAATGTGCCAATTCTTTATCCCTTCTTGTGTCCACAGCCTTTACCGTGTGACTCGGCAGTTCTGACCAACTCCATGGTCACAGTGCACTTCCTTGCTCCTTCAGTTTGGACTCTTTCATGTGACATAACCAATGAGGTGTTAGCAGACATGATTTCATCAAAGACTTAAAAAAAAAACAAACAAACACTTCTGTGGTTAGGTTTGTATTCTTATATGCCTCTGCCATTGCCATGATGAGAAGATGTTCCATGTAGCTTGAAGGATGAGAGACACAAGCAATACGTCACCTATGTCAATCTATGGATGCATGGCTTGAGTCAGAATGACCCATATGAGCCAAAGATGGAGCTGATATGCTCCCCTGCATCAGCCCTGAGATGCCATTTTCTTTATTTTTCACACAGTAGGTCAAGTATCCCATTCACCTCATTCTGCTTATGGCTTCACAGTCTCTCTACCTACCCTAGGCTTCAAGAAAGCATTCCCACAAGGCCAGAAGTATTGTATTACTGGGAAATATGTAACAAATCCTCTTCTGAGTATTGGGGTCATCCTCAAAAATCATCCCTGGTTCCCAAGTTCACACAGAACTGAGTCCAAGCTATGGTAAAGGAAAGTTCACAGGTGTGGGGTCAAATAGTTACACGGAAAAAATTCTGGAGTATCACTTATCAACTGACCTTGAGCAGATCTTATCGCTGTTCCTAATTTCAGTTTCCCAACACTTAAAGTGGACACAATATCATCTAAGTTGGAGGATGTTAGTGATTCAGGTGGTCCAGACAATCCTTGCCTTTCCTCAAACAGTGATTAAAATGCCTTCTACTTTTACAACTATAATCTAATTACTTCCTTACAATAACCGGACCGTGAGATACAGACCCTATTATTTTCATTTTATAAAATAAAGAAAGAATAAAATATTTACACTTTATTTGTAAGGCACTTGGGAATTGCAGCATGGTTGGAAGTCAGGAACCAGTTGGAAGGCAATTGTATTAGTCCAGGTAAGAGAAAATTGTGATGTAAACTAGAAAAGCAGGGGGAGGTGAAAAGATTCAGAAGATATTTGGAATATAAAATTGGCTGAATTTAATGATTGATTAGAAATGAGAGTGGTAGGGAGTGCATGGGAAGAGACAGTGGCTTGAATACCTTCATATTTGGAGGTACCTATCCCTGAAACTGGGCACCCATGAGGAGCAGCAGATTTACAGGGTGATAAGTTCATTATGGACAGGCTGAGTGGGAAGCTATGGCATGTCCAGATGGAAATATTTGAAAGGCAATTGGATCAGATCTCAATCTTAAGAGAGATATCTAGGCTAGAATTATAGAGTTGGACGTTATCCTTATTTAGATTATTAAAGCTACTTCAAAAATATATTATGCCAAAAATTAAAGAATATATATATCATGAACTTTAGTTGTATGCATTTCAGTAAAGCACTTAACCCTTCTGAACACTAGTTACTTTGCCTTTTAAATGAGAAAAATAACATGACTTAACCTGCCAAAAGAGTTTTGGTAAGATTCCAATTACATAATGAGTGTGAAAGTAATATGTAAACTTTAAAGTGTTACTTAAATAAAATAACATTAGTTTCACTGTCATTAGCAGTTGATTGGAGATAACCTTCTAAGTGCTTGCTCAAGTCTCAGTGTCCCGCTGAGAACTGCTGGGAACTTTATGAAAATAATATTACTTTGGGTTACTGTAGCAGTTTTTACAGCCAAACCAGGACAAAGTAGACAAAAGATTTTAAAAATTAAATGAGTAAGTTGTGTTATTATTTAAATGAAAACAAACATTGCAGGCATAGTCAGGCATCTTTTATTTTTAAAATGACTATGGTTTTATATTTACATAATAAGAGAACTGGAATTTGCTTTCTCTCAATCAGTAACAAGATTGGTAATTGAATAGAAGATATTCATATTCTTGGACACCTTCATGTAAAATGTACTCACAGGTAACTAAAGCAGTTGATTTGTTGTTAGGATTGTTAGCCAAGCCTATTAACTAAGATACCAGCCCAAACTGAAGCTTTTCACTGCCGAATGGTTCATCTAAAGCCCTTCTTTATGGCACTAATTAGAGAGCAGGATCAGTTGTATATGAAGGATACTCATTTTGCAATAAATACATATTTTCAACATGAAAGAGTATCATTCTGGGTTCTCTATGACTGAGGACATATATTTCAGTCATTTAGATTTATTATATCAGGTCAATATGACAACTTTAAAAGAAAGGAGTAACTAAACATAACACCCGTCTTAGTCTGTGAATCTACTTTTTCAGAATATCATTCCTATTGATCCCAGACCTAACTGGAACCTTAAGGTGCAGATTCTGTATTCATAACCTGGCTCTTTTTGAGCAGCTTGAAGCATAGTCCTTTCATTTATCTAAGATAGTCAAAGAGCTTGGAAAGTCAATCTCTTCCCTATCCTCTGAATTTAATTGAATTATACTTGTATGCACCAATTACAGTCCCTTTACCACTAAGAAACAAAAACAAGACCAAAAACGATTATGATAAAAATCTCAACTAACAGAGATGCTTGGTAGGCAGAAATAGAAAAGTACAAACGTTGCTTGGAGACCAATGAATGGAGCTCTGTGATTCTGCAGAAGCTCTAATTGCTAGCTGCATAATCTTGACTAAAGTTATTTATTCTTTGTGAGCTCTAATTTCCTAATTTATAAAAAGTCCATCGTCATCACTGTTATGATTCTCTCATCTTCTTCATCATCATCTCTGTCATTGTCATCATCATTATTTGTACATCAAAGATTTCTTACAAATTCAGTGAAAGAACATGTGTACAGTATAAATTTGATGCCTAAAATGCAGAAGGCTGGCTGGCACCCTTTTCTTTATTTTGAAGGCCAGAACGAGAGATTTGATTTGTAACAAGCTACTAGTTCTTTGGGCAAGCTTTGAAAAGAGACTTCTTAGTTGTTCAGCAAGAGAGAAAGAGAAGTGTGCAGAAATAGAGGGAGATTATAAAACCCATCTATCTCCAAATTTATCTTTAGACAGTCCCACGTGAAGATCAGTGTATCACAGGAGAAGTTAATCAGGCCAGCCCCATTAAGACCAATGCAGAAAGTAGCAAAAATTTGGCAGGAACCCTGGACAATGTGCTGGGAATCTTGAGTCATTCTTCAAGATGTGGAGAGGTATTTGAGTATTTTTGTGGTTACTGTTGTTTGATTTCTCTCTCTCTTTTTTTAAAGGAAGTGAACAAATGGGTTAACAAAAAGAAACAGCACATAAAACATATTTTTGTTATCTCATGTAAGACCTAGTGATCAGATTGAAAGCTGCTCCTGGCTTCAGGCACCTTTGATAGCAGGCTAGCAAGCTGTCTTTCCAGATCTATCAGTAAGTGTCACTAGTGCTGGTTTCATCTGTAGTAGGGACAGATCTGAGTTCCGCCTGCAATGGATTGAAATCACCTTTATTATCTGAGCTGTCCATCTGGTGTGTGTGTTGTATATTTGTGTGTGTGTTTTCCTTTCCATCTCCCCCAGTCCATTTCCAATACTGAAGGTGAAGTAGGAACTGATAATGGAATGACCTTGAGGCCAAAAAAATGTGGAGTGAATAACGTCCAATAAAATGCACTATGACAGGTATTTCATAAAAGAGGTTTGCAAACAGATGACTTTTTACAAAGAAAATAAACTAACATTGCTTTGTTGTTCAGGTGCCAAAGTGATTTGCTTTTCTCTGCTCTAGCAGCTTCTGATTGACTTTTTCTCCTGTGAAAAATGAGGAAAAGGAGAGAAAAAGATTGCTCTGTATGAGTCATTCAATAAGAGGGCAAACTATTAGTTGTTTTTTTTTCTCATTTTGCTACTTCTATTAATGCTAATGAAAAGAATTTCATTTTGCTTATGTTTCACAAATAATAGCCCATCATAATAAGAGTTAATATTTATTGAAAACCTATTATGTGCCAGCCACATTACTATTTTGTGCACATTATCTAATTCACACACTAACTCTGGGAGGCAACTAAGATAAAGGGATTTTAAGGAATTGGACAAACGCTTAGTGGAATAAAGTTGAGGATGAAACTAAAGTCTCTCTGAAACCAAACAATTGTGCTTTAAAATGTTACTTTTATTTTATTTTATTTTTTAATTCTCACTGTTGCCTGATAGAGGCACTGTGCCAGGTACTAATAAAGAATGCAAAACTGAACAAGAGAGACATTCTAATCCTAAAAAAATAAACTCTCAGGGAAATTATAACAAATGTACAGGCATCAGAATGCTACAACCTGGAGTGAGGCAGAGTGGGAACCATCACAAACTGGAGGACATTAGACATATAAAGAGAGTTATCAATGCACAGAGTAAACCAACCAACTGAGTCATAGGGGAATGTAAACCCAAAGTATCTCTAGTTTCCAACTTTTTTCAAGAGAAGCTAAAATCTAGGTTTTATGTAATCTTTTTCAAGTTGAAAAGTAATTATAAAGCTCAATCAATAGATAGATGTAGATACGAATATAGATATATCAAAAGGCCATATAGGTCAAACTAAATATATCTGAAAACAGATTAAGCATTTGGTCCTCTAGTAAACATATGTAGAATAGAGAAAAGATTACAACATTGAAATTAGTTGCCCTGGATTTTATTCTCACTCCATTGCTTATTAACTTTAGGAAACTGGGAAAAATATTAGTGTCTCTGGGTACCAGTTTCCTCATCTGTAGAATGTAGAGACACTATCACAGATCCTATTAAATTAATGTAGATGATTAAATGAGATTAGATGTGTAAAGCTGCAAATACAAATTTAGTGCACAGTTAACTTCAATTTGCTTTCTCTTTCACTGTCCAGCACAGAGGAGGATAGGTCCATAAAAGCAAAGTATTATTTGATTGGGAGTATCAAGAATTGCTTACAGAGAAAGTAGCATTTGAGATGGACCTCAAAGGAGCACTATTTTTTTACATAGGTGAAAATAGGGGAAAGTAACCCTTATGGAGATAACAGCATGAGCAAAATCCAAATGCAAGGATTATTTAACGAGTATTCATCTCTTATTTGAACAATGTATACTTTGGTATAAGCTCTTGGCTGGAGGTTAGACTTGGAGCATATGCTGTGACCATATTATAGAAGGCCTTAAATGCCAGGTTATGGAGAATAATCATGATTAAAAATACAATGAAGAACCACTGATTTCTTTTTTACATTATGGAGTGAAAGTATCAAATTGACCTTAGGAAGATTAATCTTGCAGCACCATATATAGTAGCTGTTAGTGAAAACCAGCAGTGGGAAGAGGGAGCAGGAGGTGACTCAAGTAGTTCAGGATATGGTCAGTGATCTACAGTAATGGAAATGGGGAAGGAAACCTAGATAAGAGCAATTATGAGAGGTCAGCAGGAGAGATCCCAACATAGGCAACTCTGTTGGTTGTTGGAGTTACTGATTAGGTAGAGGGTCAAGAAACGGAAGAAACAAATCTGACTTCAGACCTGGAAGGACTTAGTAGTTAGGGAACTCTGAAATCCAGGAAGAATCAAGCTCTTATTCTTCCATTTGCTGCCCATGTGACTTTGGGAAAATTACTGCACACTTTGAGTGCTAGCTCCTCCCTGTGTCAAATGAGAATAAAAATATGTAGCTTCAGTGTTGTTTGACAATTCAATGATATGGCATGTTTAACTAAGATAGTCCTATTATAATGTAGTCTCTCAAAAAATGTTAATTCCCGATTTCCTCCTTCACATCCAACAGACTGCTCCTTGGAGCAGTATATCATTTTCTTTCCCTACCTCATTTGCTTCCGTGGGAAATGCTAGACCCCTATATCATTCAGCTGTGATCCACTTGCTCTTTGCCTTATCAACAGAGGGCAGCAGGGAACTGAGGCTGGGTTTGAACTAACTTCATCTCAACAAGGAATGACTTGCTTTTTGGAATGACTAAGTTCAATGTTTCTTTCAGAATACCCAGAACTGTGTATATACTTAATAAATTGATAAAAATCTTGTTTAGCTGGGGCTTTGGAGAATGCCATAGAAAAGTACACACAGAAGCTCAAGAACCCAGAAAACTCAAGGGAAAATTAGACACCAGAAAATTTCTGTAACTTGTATACCACTCAAGCAAAAAATGAGCCTAATTTAAAAGCTTGTTCTGCAAGATCTTGCACTCTGGGCATAAGAATCCTGACTCTAAACTGCCCTTTGGGTATAACTGGTTCATGTACTTTTTTGTGAAATCTGGGAGGAATTATTTTATGTTAATGAGGTGGGAGATGGAGGTGGGACTAGAACCTGGAGGGGGGGCTTGGACACCAGACCAAATTGAGGACTAGCTAAAACAGGGATGGAGCAGAAGCAGCTTTCCATAAGACACACCCACCATTTTGCCATGTCAGTTTACCATTGCCACAGCAACACCCGGGAGTTGGCAGGCAACACCTGCCCCTTTCCATGACAACAACCAAATGGCCCAAAAGTTACTACCCCTTTCCTAGAAATTTCTTTGTAAACCACCCCCTTAATCTACATGTAATTAAAAGTGATATAAATATGACTGCAAAACTTCCCTGAGATGCTACCTTCTGCCTGTGAGAGGTAGCCCTGCTCTACAGGAGCAGTCACAAAGTTGTAACACTGCCTCTTCAATAAAGCTGTTTCTCCTTCCTCTGCCTTGCTCTTGAATTCCTTCCTGAGCAAAGCCAAGAACCATCACGGGCTAAGCGCCACTTTGGGGTTCACCTGTCTGGCATCATTAGGACTATGTAAAAAGCCTCCAAAGGCCTGATAATAATGTTACTGAATAACTAGATGCATTTTACAGCAAATTGAGCAGGTATACATATACATACATAAAAAGAAAAATTTAAAAAATGACTACCACCAAATACTATGATTTGTATCCTCACTCCACTATCCCCTTATAAGGGAACTGGAGCATTCCATAGCCCAGATAATCTAAGGGAAACACTCCTGTCTTGTTGCAGCACAGTTTCTTAAAAGTCTTTGATCATTGACTATATTCTGTATTACCTCTCGTTGGACTTTCTTTACTAAAGCTGACAAACTGATTGAAAAAAAAGATCTGAATTTCTCTATCTACAGTTGCTTGAGCTTTGGACTTGAAATACAAAGTCCTTAGTGATTATATTTCTATAGTGTTAGATGTTTCTGTGGCTTACTTGTTCCTACTTCTTGTGCAACCCTTGGCCTCAAGGAGGTTCCTTCTTGTATCCCACAAACATGCCTAATGCCTCTTCCTAGAACAGACCTGTCTCTTCTCAGTAGTTTGGTTGACGGGAGAGATGTTGGCATGAAAAAAATATGAGTTCTATGCCAAGTGCTACCTACAAAACCTGTTCCATTGTAAATAAGTGACTGGTTCTCAGACTAGGTTGCTAGATTAGTCAATCAGACATTCTACCCAAATACCCACTCAGGGATCTATTTCATGCCCACTTAGGCATGGGTTTTACTGTGATTTTATATAGCCTTCAGATCCCTTACTGGCTTAAAAGAAACAGGCAAACAAAAAGTTACCTTGCAAAGCATTTGTAATTGCCGAGTGTCTGCCATGGGTCTGGCATATGGCTGCTGTCTCTCATCCATTCTTCTGCTTGCCAGTGAGGCCAGGCATGAAAAAAGCTGTCCTAGGAAAAGTTTTCATCTGACCAGACTTCGCTCTTGGAGGGCTGCACTTCACATCTGTTCCTTTGGCCCGAGTCATTGGCACTGACCAAAGGATGGAAAATCTACTTATCCACCTCAGAGCCAAGAGGACAGGGAGAAAGCAGCTTTCCAAACAGAGCATAGGGCCAACTGGCAGGAGGCTTTGCATCTCCACTTCAGGATACAAGTTATTCCTGGCAGGTGAATATACTCAGGGCACTGCTAAAGCTAATACATTTTTTTTTCCTTTTAAAATACTCTTGAACTGTTGAACAGGGACGTAGAGGAATCTACTTGGATAAAATGCCTCAGACAAACTTATGATTTGTTATTCATAATAAAAATAAAAGCTAAAATTATTTGGTACTTAGCATTCAGCAACTGTGCTAAGCACTTCAATTATGTTATTCTGTTTAACACTCACAACAATGAGGGAGCTACACTCATCATACCCATTATTTAGATGAGAAAATAGATGTAAGGGATGTAAGGGGTTAAATGACTTGCCCTTGTGTTTACTCTTAGACAATGTATATATTTTTAAATCTTTCCAACATTCTAGTGGATGTTTAAAGAGCTATGGAGTTGTGCAGGAACCTGTGCAATAGTCAGGTAAGATGCTAATGTGCCCATTTTACTGGTGAGTGAATGGAGGTTAAGAAAATGTGAGTGATTGTGCCACATTCCACTGCTAGGAAATCTTGGAACAGTACGTGCACCAAGTCTTCTTATTTCAAGTGCATTTTTTTCTGCCAGTAAAGGTGATGGAATCTTCAAAGCTTTTCTATGATAAAAGGCAAAGGAGAATGAAAATGAGTTAATTGAGGTAAGACTTACCTCTCTGAACCTGGGATTCTTCATCTGAATAAACAAATGACTAAAACAGGGACAAAAGTACATACAAAGATCTCATGAGGATTGGAAAAAAATTCGTCAAAGTTTCTATCACCATTTCTGGTATATAATAAGCACTCCAAAAGTAGGAGCTTTTTAAATGATTAATTAAAGTGAGAAGGAAACCCAAGGAAGCCAAAAATAATCAAAAGCATTGTTGGTCATAAATCTTTTATTTGCTAATTTGTTCACTGACTACTATGTGCAGTGGTAGTGGAATTCTTCCCATAGATCTGTCCCCATACCTCCCAGGTCCACATCTTTGTTGTGGATGAATGGGGTACGATTTTGATAACACTCCCCTCTCACACTGAAAGAGAATTGAAAGATGGATTCTTAGAAATGTGTTTTTACAAGTAGAGACCATTACTCAATGTATCACTCAAGATTAAATATAGAAAATAGGTGACACTCTAGATATTTTAAGCAAAAATTGATTTAACATAGGGAATCAGGGGTTTAAAATTTATTACATAGAAATAGAGTCTAAACTGGGCCTCCAGGAAAGACTTTCAAACAATCCAGCTGATCCTTAATGGAGCTACCAATCCTGGGCTATCTCTGGAGCTGTCCCATACCCAAAAACCTGCCACCATTGCTTCCCCCATTGCAGACACCCAAACTATGGAACACATAAGCCTTTATCTGCAGACCAGGAAAAGAGAAATGAGTCCAAGAGGCATCTCCCAACCATCCAGGAAGCTAGGCAAGGAGTACCTTTGCAGAGAACCTTCTTCTCACATGTGCCTATATAGACACAGCCAAAAGAGAGTAGAAAAATGCTTTCTGTCTCAACTCTGACTTCAGATTTCGGGCAAATGCATCTGATGGATGAAACCTACTTTACATTCAGAACCCTAGTTACAAAGAAGTTTGGAAAAGTAGTTTTTAGTTTAGCTTTCAAAACTATCTCAAAAAAAGAATTATGTTTAGATGTTGAATGAACCTCTATGTTTGTTTATTTATTTATTTATTTATTTATTTATTATACTTGAAGTTTTAGGGTACATGTGCACAACGTGCAGATTTGTTACATATGTATACATGTGCCATGTTGGTGTGCTGCACCCATTAACTCGTCATTTAACATTAAGTATATCTCCTAATGCTATCCCTCCCCCCTCCCCCCACCCCACAACGGACCCCGGTGTGTGATGTTCCCCTTCCTGTGTCCATGGGTTCTCATTGTTCAATTCCCACCTATGAGTGAGAGCATAAGGTGTTTGATTTTTTGTCCTTGCAATAGTTTGCTAAGAATGATGGTTTCCAGCTTCATCCATGTCCCTACAAAAGACATGAACTCATCATTTTTTTATGGCTGCATAGTATTCCATGGTGTATATGTGCCACATTTTCTTAATCCAGTCTATCATTGTTGGACATTTGGCTTGGTTCCGAGTCTTTGCTATTGTGAATAATGCCACAATAAATATACGTGTGCATGTGTCTTTATAGCAGCATAATTTATAATCCTTTGGGTATATACCCAGTAATGGGATGGCTGGGTCAAATGGTATTTGTAGTTCTAGATCCCTGAGGAATCGCCACACTGTCTTCCACAATGGCTGAACTAGTTTACAGTCTCTATGTTCATTTAATCATATGTTGAGCCACTAATACACATCCAATAACTTGATGAGTTTGGAGGTATGTATGCACCCATACAATCATCACCACAATCTATGCCATAAACATATCCATCACCTCAAAAAGTTTCCTCCTGGATTCTTTATTATTATTATACACACAATATATGTATGAAAACACACATATATTGCGTTTTTATCAATAATAATATATTAGTGATAACATATTAAGATATATTTCCTATCCTCTTAGAAAAATTTTAAGCATACAATAGAGTATTATTAACTATGGGCATTATGCTGTATAGTAGCTCTCTAGGACTTATTCATCTTGTATAAATAAAACTTTTTGCATTTAGACTAATACCTACCCACTTTCCCTCTTCACCAGTCCCCTGACAACCACCACTCTACTCTCTGCTTCTACCACTTTGACTGTCTTAGGTTCCTCATAAATACTGAAACATGTAGTATTTGTCCTGCTGTGTCTGGCTTATTTCACTTTGCATAATGTCTTATGGGTTCATCCACATTGTCACAAATGTCAGGATTGCCTTCTTTTTAAGGCTGAATAATATTTTATTGTATGTATATACCATATTTTCATTATCCACTCTTCTGTCAATGACCATTTAGATTGATTCCATGTCTTCACTATTGCAAAAGTGCTGTAATGATTATGAGAGTGCAGATATTTATTTGAGATTCTGATTTCTTTTTTTATAAAAAAAACACATCCAGAAGTGGGGTTGGCAAATAATACAGCAATTCTATTTTCAATTTTTTGAGGAACGTTCAAACTGTTTTCCCTAGGAGCTGCACCAATTAACATTACCACAAACAGTGCAACAGAGTTCTCTTTTCTCCACATCCTGGCCAACGTTCGTTATATTCTGCTTTTTTAAAAAATATATTTTTTATAGTAGCCATTATAACAGATGTGAGGTAATATCTTATTGTGGATTTCATTTACATTTCCCTGATGAATAGTGGTGTTGAGCTTTTTTTGTTTTAATACACCTGTGGACCAGTTATATGTGTTCTTTGGAAAAATGTCTATTCAAATCCTTTGCTCATTTTAAAACCAGGTTATTTTTTTTTGTTTTTGGTTGGTTGGTTTTGTTTTGTTTTTGCTTTGGGGTTGTATGGGTTCCTCATATATTTTAAATATTAGCCTTTTGTTAGATACATGGCTTGTGAATATTTTCCCCCATTCCATAGGTTACCATTTCATTTTGATTGTTTCCATTGCTGTGCAGAAGTTTTTGAGCTTGTTACAATCCCACTTGTCAATTTTTGCTTTTGTTAAGAGTAGTTTTGGGATTATTTATGAAAAATCATTGCCTAGACCAATGTCAAGAAGTTTTTTTCCAGTTACATGGTTTCAGTTCTTAAGTTTAAGTCTTTAATCTACTTTAATTAATTTTTGTATATAGTGAGATAAGGGTCCAATTTTGTTTCTGTGCATGTGAATATACAGTTTTTCTAACTCCATTTATTGATGAGGATATTTTTATTCCATTGCGTGCTCTTGACACCTTTGTCAGTGATAGCTTGATTCTAAATGCATGGGTATATTTCTGGATTCTCTGTTCCATTGGTCTATATGTTCTGTTTTTATGCTAGGACCATGCTGTTTTGGTTAGTATAGCTGTGTAGTATATTTTGAAGTCAGGTAGTATGTTGTCCCCAGCTTTGTTTTTGCTAAAGATTGCTTTGCTATGCAGAGGTTTTTTTTATGATTCCATATAAATTTTAGGATTTTTAAAATTGTTTTTTCTATTTCTGTGAAAAATCCTTTTTAAATTTTGATACATATTATATTGAAAATGTAGATTGCTTTGGGTAGTTTGAATATTTTGACAATAGCTCTATTTCTGTGAAAAATGCCTTTGACATTTTCATAGGCGTTGTATTGAGAGTGTAGATTGCTTTGGGTGGTATGAAAATTTTACAATATCAGTTCTAATCTATGAACATGGACTATCTTCTCATTTATTTGTGTCTTCAATTTTTTTGTCAATATTTTATACTTTTTCGCTTATAACTATTTTAGATATTTTAGATCCTTGCTTAAACTTATTCCTAACTATTTTTATACTATTGTAAATGGGATTGGTTTTTAAATTTCTTTTTCTCTCAGTTTATTGTTAACTTATTTAAAAAACACATTTGATTTTTCTATATTGATTCTGCACCTTTACTGAATTTGTTTCTTAAATCTTAACAGTTTTTTGATGGTGCCTTTATAGGGTTTTTTACCTAAAAGATTATGTCAACCATAAATATATCTCTGTTATTTTTCCCCTTTTCAATTTAGATGACTTTTATTTCTTTTTCTTGCCTAAATGATCTAGCTAGGACTTCCAGTATTGTGTTTAATAGTAGTGGTAAAAGTGGATATCCTTGGCTTTTTCCAGAACTTAGAGGAAAATATTTCAGTTTTTCATCATTGATCATAATTATAGGCTGTAAGCCTTCTCTATATGATTTTTATTGTGTTGAGGTAAGTTTCTTCTACATGAAAGTTGTTGAGGGTTCTTATTAATAAGGAGTGTTGAATTTTGGTGAATGTTTTTTGCACATCTTTTAAGATGATCCTGTGATTTTTTTTTCTTCATTCTGTTAATGTTCTGTATGACACTGATATGATTTACGTATGTTCAACCATCTTTGCACCCAGTGGTAAATTCCACTTGGTCATAGTGTATAATCCTTGTATAATACTTTTAATGTGCTGTGAAATTTTGTTTGTTAAAATGTTGTTGAGAATTTTTACATCTATGTTCATCAGGGACATTGATGGGCTTGTAGTGTGTGTGTGTGTGTGTGTGTGTGTGTGTGTGTGTGTGTAGTCTTTGACTTTGGTGTCAGAATGATGCTACCTTCATAAAATAAGTTTGAAAGTGTTCTTTCTGCTATCATTTAGAAGAGTTTAAGAAGAATGTGTTTTAATTTTTTAAAGTTTTTTAGAATTTACCTGTGAAGACATCTTGTCCTGATATTTACTTTGTTGGAAGTTTTTGGATTACTGATTCAATCTCCTTATTTGTTATTGGTTTTCCTGTTTCTTGTAGATTCTATTTGTTATAGATTCAGTCTTGATAGATTGTATGTTTCTAGGAATTTATCTATTTCTTCCAGTTTACCAAATTTATTGGCATATAATTATTCATAGTAATGCTTTATTATAATTATATTTCTATGGCAACAGTTATAATGTCTCTCTCATATTTCTAATTTTATTTCAGTCTTCTCTCTCTTTCTTTTTTCAGTTAGCCTATCCAAGGGTTTATCAATTTTATTTGTATTAAAAAAACATTTCTTAGCTTTGCCATTTTTTCCATTGTTCTTGATTTCTATTTTGTTTATTTCTTCCCTAATCTTTATTATTTTTTTTCTGCTAACTTGAGGCTTAGTTTGTTCTTCTCTACTTTCTAGAACTGCAAAGTTCATTTGTATACTTATGATTTTCCTTTTTGCTAAGTATAAGTATTTATTGCTATAATCTTCCCACTTAGAACTGCTTTTACTACATCAAATAAGTTTTGGTATCTTTCATTTTCATGTCCTTTGAAATACAATCTTCTTCGTTCAAGAGTATATTGTTTAGTTTTCACCTGTTTGTAAATTTTCCCATTTTTCTTTTGTTACTGATTTCTAGTTTATTTTATTTTGTTCAGAAAAGATACTTGGAATGATTTCTGTCTACTTCAGTTTGTTAAGACTTTTGTCTCTTGTAACATAGCATGTAATGTATTCTAGAGAAAGTTCTATATACACTTGAGGAGAATATATATATGTATATATAGACGTCTATGTACATATATGTATATATATACGTCTATATATGTCTATAGACGTATATATATATATATATACACACACACATACATGTATACTGCTACTATTGGGTAGAATGTTCTGTATATGTATGTTAGGTCCATTTGGTCCATAGTGTTGTTCATGTGCTGTTCTTATATTGGTTTTCTTTCTGGATGATCTATTGTTTATTTATAGTGGGATATTGAGATCTCCTACTATTATTATATTTCTGTCCATTGCTCCCTTCTGATCTGCCAGTGTTTGCTTAGTATATTTAGGTGCTCTGATGTTTGCTGGAAAAATATATTTCTAGAGTGGAGGGCAGGAGGAGGGAGATTAACAGAAAAAATAACTACTGAGTACTATGATCAGTACCTGGGTGATGAAATAATCTGTACACAAACCCCTGTGATACGAGTTAACCTTTATTAACAAACCTACACATGTAGCCCTGAACCTAAAAGTTAAAAATGAAATTAAAAAAGATAATGGAGAGACACAATACTACAAAAAAGAAAGTATATTTGTAACTGTTTTATCTTCCAATTGAATTGACCCTTTAATTATTACATAATGGCTTTCTTTGGTCTTGTGTGATAGTTTTGACTTAAATTGTATTTTGTCTGATATAAGCATAGCCCCAGCTTCTTTTTGTTACCCTTTATGTGGATTATCTTCTTTCATCACTTCACTTTCAGCCTAAGTGTGTCCTTATATCCAGAGTGAGTTTCATGGATAGCATGTAGGTGGTTCATATGTTTTATCCATTGAGCTATTCTATATTTTTTGACTAGGAACATTAATCAATTTACATTTAAAATAATTATTGGTGTATATGTGCCACATTTCCTTTATCCAGTCTATCATCGATAGACATTTGAGTTGGTTCCAAGTCTTTGCTATTGTGAATAGTGCCACAATAAACATACGTGTGCATGTGTCTTTATAGTAGCATGATTTATAATCCTTTGGATATATACCCAGTAATGGGATCGCTGGGTCAAATGGTATTTCTAGTTCTAGATCCTTGAGGAATTGCCACACTGTCTTCCACAATGTTTGAACCAGTGTATACTCCCACCAACAGTGTAAAATCATTCCTATTTCTCCATATCCTCTCCAGCACCTGTTGTTTCCTGGCTTTTTAATGATCGCCCTTCTAACTGGTGTGAGACGGTATCTCATTGTGGTTTTGATTTGCATTTCTCTGATGCCCAGTGTTGACGAGCTTTTTTTTCATGTGTCTGTTGGCTGTATAAATGTTTTCTTTTGAGAAGTGTCTGTTCATATCCTTTGCCCACTTTTTGATGGGGTTGTTTGATTTTTTCTTGTAATTTGCTTAAATTCTTTGTAGATTCTGGATATTAGCCCTTTGTCAGATGAGTAGCTTGCAAAAATTTTCTCCCATTCTGTAGGTTTCCCGTTCACTCTGATGGTAGTTTCTTTTGCTGTGCAGACTATGCAACCATAAAAAAGGATGAGTTCATGTCCTTTGTAGGGACATGGATGAAGCTGGAAACCATCATTCTGAGCAAACTATCGCAGAGACAGAAAACCATACACTGCATGTTCTCACTCATAGGTGGGAATTGAACAATGAGAACACTTGGACACAGGGAGGGGAACATCACCCACTGGGACCTGTCGTGGGGTGGGGAGCTAGGGGAGGGATAGCGTTAGGAGAAATACCTAATGTCAATGACGAGTTAATGGGTGCAGCAAACCAACATGGCACATGTATACATATCTAACAAACCTGCACGTTGTGGACACATACCCTAGAACTTAAAGTATAATAAAAAAAATAAAGTAATTATTGATAGGTAAGGTCTCACTACTACATTTTTAAAAAGTGTTTTCTGAATGTTTTGTAGTTCTTTTGTTTCCCTCTTCCCCTCATGTCTTCCTTTATGATTAGATTATTTTTGTAACGATATACTTTGATTCCTTTATCTTTTAAAATATCTATTGCAGGTTTTGTCTTGTGGTTATCATGATAAAACTTTCTTAGCGTTATGATTGATAAAACTTTCTTAGGGTTATGATATTCTGTTTTATAGAATGGTAACTTAGTATAGTAACTTAACTTCAGTCATACATAAAAACTATACTTTTACTTCTCCTTCCCAAACTTTATGTTATTAATTTCAGAATTTACTTCATTTTATGTTGTGAATCCGTTAACAAATTTGTGTAGTTATAGATATTCTTAATACTGTTGTCTTTTAACTTTTATACTAGGTTTAAAATGATTTATGCACTACCATTACAGTATTATACTATTCTGTGGTTTTTTTTTTTTGTATTTACCTTTACCAGTGATATTTATGTTTTCATATGGTTTTGTGTTGCTGTTTAGCATATTTTCATTTCAACTTGAACAATTTCCCTTTGCACTTCTTGTAAGGCAGGTCTAGTGGTTACAAACTCGCTCAGTTTGTGTTTGCTTAGGAAAGTTTTTATCTTTTCTGTATTTTTAAATGACAGTTTTGCCAACTATAGTATTTTTGGTTGGCATGTTTTCAGCAATTAAATATATCATCTCAATCTTTCCTACTCTACAAGGTTGCTTCTGAGAAATCTGCTGATAATTTTATTGAGATTCTCTTCTATGTTACAGGTCATTTTTATCTTGCTGCTTTCATCATTCTCTTCTTTGTTGACTTTTGACAATTTAATTATAAAATGTTTCAGTGCATGTCTCTTTAGATTCAATCTATTTGTGGTGTTTGGCTTCATGAACCGGAGTATCTATTTCCCTCTCCAGATTTGGGAAGTTTTCAGCAATTATTTCTTTAAATAAATTTTCTCCCACTTTATCTTCTCCCTCTTAAACTTTCATAATGCTTAAATTGGCTTGTTTGATAGTATCTCATAGGTCTCAGGCTTTGTTTAGTCTTTTTATTTTTATTCCTTTGTTTTCCTTTGACTGGATATTTTCAATTGACCTGTCACTGAGATTGCTGCTTCTTTCTTCTACTTGATCCAATCTACTGATGAAGCTTTCTATTAAATTTTTCTATTCAAATATTGCATTCTTCTGCTTCAGAACTTTGTTGCTTTTTTACGGTCTCTATATTTCTTTTGATTTCTCATTTGTTTCCTGTATTGTTTTCCTGAGTTCATGCATTTTTCTGTTTATGTTCCTTGATCTTTTAAAAAAATTTTGAATTATTTGTAAGGCAGTTCATAGGATCACTTACTACATTTCTTTAGGATCAGTTATTAGAACTTCATTTTTTTCCTTTGGTGGTATCATATTTTCCTGATTTTTTTTTTTTATCCTTGTGGCCTTGCATTATTGTCTGCATATTTGAAGAAGAAATGGCTTCTTCTTGTCTTTGGAGATTGCTTTTGGCAGGAAAAGCCCTCCATCAGTCAGCCTAGTCAAGGATTCTAGACAGGCCAGCTAGTAAGATACTTGGGTGGGTCTGCTGCTGGGGTCTGTGGGATTGCTGTTGAGATCTGTGTGCTGGTTGTTGAGAGCCCCTGTACCCTTTATTTTTGTTCTTAGCTACCTCTAGATGATGTAGCCATGCAGATTTATTCAGTGTTCTAGATGAAGTACAACAGACACAGGTCTCTCAGATAGTGCCCTGAAAAGTTAGGCAGTCAAATACTCATTTCATTCTCTTTATTCGCCATTAGATAATTCACAAACCAAGCGGATCTCTCTCAGCACTGTGCCATGCCAGCTTGGGGAAGGGGCGTTATAGGTAAAGTGTTCTTACTCTTTTCAACGTATCTTTTCTTTTTCTGTGCTTTACTGTTATGCTGTGACTTTCACGTGGATTCTGGAGCTCTCATAAAGTTATTTTTGTCTGTGGCTGGCTGTTAAATTGGTGTTTCTGTGGGGAGAAGAGGGCTTGAAGTTTTTTATTTTACCATCTTTCTTGTCATTTATTCTGCCCTATTCACTTTTTAACTCTGTGATCTAACTTCTGGAGTCATTAAGGCCCTATGCAAAATGGGGATACCTATCTCCTGAGTTTTATGAAGATTAGCATTTTTAATGTATATAAAATAAATACAGCAGTAATGAACATGTATTTAATAATATTGTTATTGTTATTTTTAACGATAAACACTACTGTAAGTTTATTGAAATTTCATTTGCCCATTTCAGCTGGAATTGCATTTATTCAATATCTAGTTAGATTTTCAGGTAAATGTCAGAAAATTATGCTTGCACAAGAATTGGAGCAGATTTTTGTTTGAGAAGATTTAGCCTGGCAATGATAGGGAAAATAATGATCAAATAAATTGGCATGTACTATCTGGAATGTAGTAGCTTCAATGAAAAGCTGAATTTGCATTCTCTAGAAATAGAATTAACCTGGAAAAGCAGCTTGCTATTTCGTAGTGGAAAAATATCCCTCTTCAGTGACATTTTAAAATAGAGTAGGTAGTCCTACTTAGCATGTATCACCTCCTTAATTAAGTCCCTCACCTCCAGTCACATCAAAATTACTATGTTCATCCAGTTCTCTAACATACACAAAAAATGTGTATAGAGGAAGCATTTTTTAGTGGAATAAGATGATACTTGGAATCAAAAAACATGGAGTTTAATGTGGGCTCAATGGTGACCTTGAAAAGTTTCTGAACCCCTTGGAGCCAACATTTTTGCCTATGAAATGGTGAAAAAATAAATAACCACTCATAGATTTTAATTTAAAAATAAGCCAGTGTCTCTCAAAATATACGTGAGTTTTTGAAAGTGTAGCTTCTAAAGTCAAACTGCTAGGGTTTGACTGTAAGCTTTACTGCAAACTGATTGACCTTGACCAAGCTATTGAACCTTCTTGTATTCAGTTTTCTCATGAAGAAAAATTGGGCAAATTTTATGGCCCATAGGATAATAAGACGATCATAAGATAATTAAATAAGAGCGTGCATATTAGACACAATTGTAGATAAAGTGAAAAGTAAAAATAAAAATTATTATAATACTTATATGTGTTAAACTATAAAGCATTAGATAAACTATAAAATGTCCTGTTTCATTATTCCCCTTTTCACATTGTGTTCAATGATGACTATCCTCCATTTCTGTCATCCTCCCTAAGATGCAAGTTCCCTGAGGACAGATGCCATGGCATATTCATCTTTGCCATGCCAGTACCCAACATGATACCTTACATAAAATAGAGGCTCAGAAATACCTGATAGAAAAATTAATGATTTTTGGATCACTTTAGAAAGAATTCAAAGGAAGTGAACTACACATTCATTGCGCTTTCACATTCAGTGTCGGTGTTCTATGGCACATGCTATGAGAAACAGAAATAATAAGTGCAACTCTGTTGTTGCCTTGAAAATTCTTATGAATAGATATTTAAAATGTGATAAAGTTTAATAACATCTGAAGTTACTTGTCATACCTATCATGGCCATTTAGGAGCTTGTATGTATATGGTCTCAAGTAACACATGTATTTCTTCATCCTTATAAAAGTAAACCAGGCAGGGAGTCAAAAGTCATGGCTTCTCATCTCTGCTGGCCATATATTTTCAGCATAATTTTTAGCAAAGTAATCAGCCTACCTGGGATTAAATTCTGTATCTGTAAAACAGTCTGTGACTTTACATCTTTAATGTCTCTAAACTTCATTCCTCCAGGTGAATCATCTTAAAAGTCTCAGAATAGTTTTTCAATATCCTTTGTTATGATTAATAGTTAAGAAATAAATGTTAGGTTCTGTACAGGTATTCTTAAAACCCTTCAATCATTTTGGGTACACTCAGAATAAAACTCAAGTCTATTTTGGCCTACAAATTATTGTGTGATCTAAACCTGACTACTACCACTCTTCCCTCTGCTCAATGTTCTCCAGCTACACTAGCCTCCTTATCATTCCCTTGAACCTCAAAAACTCTGCCTAATTCTTTCTGCCTGAAAGGCTCTGTTCCTTAGTATCCACTTGGCTCATTTTTCCCTTTAAAGTCTTTTTGCTCAAATAATACCTTAAAGTTTTCTTCTCTTACTACCTTATCTAAAATTGTTCCCTATTTAACCCCTTTACACTGACTTGTTTTTATTTATGAATCATTTCTCTTCTGATTTGATTTTTTCATGTAGGCACACACTTGAAAAATCTGTGTTGCTATTTTTCCACATCCTCTCCAGCACTTGTTGTTTCCTGACTTTTTAATGATTGCCATTCTAACTGGTGTGAGATGGTATCTCACTGTGGTTTTGATTTGCATTTCTCTGATGGCCAGTGATGGTGAGCATTTTTTCATGTGTTTTTTGGCTGCATAAATGTCTCCTTTTGAGAAGTGTCTCTTCATGTCCTTTGCCCACTTTTTGATGGGGTTGTTTGTTTTTTTCTTGTAAATCTGTTTGAGTTCATTGTAGATTCTGGATATTAGCCTTTTGTCAGATGAGTAGGTTGCAAAAATTTTCTCCCATTTTGTAGGTTGCCTGTTCACTCTGATGGTAGTTTCTTTTGCTGTGCAGAAGCTCTTTAGTTTAGTTAGATCCCATTTGTCAATTTTGGCCTTTGTTGCCATTGCTTTTGGTGTTTTAGACATGAAGTCCTTGCCCATGCCTGTGTCCTGAATGGTAATGCCTAGGTTTTCTTCTAGGGTTTTTATGGTTTTAGGTCTAACGTTTAAGTCCTTAATCCATCTTGAATTAATTTGTTCAACCCTTGTGGAAGTCAGTGTGGTGATTCCTCAGGGATCTAGAACTAGAAATGCCATTTGACCCAGCCATCCCATTACTGGGTATATACCCAAAGGACTATAAATCATGCTGCTATAAAGACACATGCACACATATGTTTATTGTGGCACTATTCACGATAGCAAAGACTTGGAACCAACCCAAATGTCCAACAATGATAGACTGGATTAAGAAAATGTGGCACATATACACCATGGAATACTATGCAGCCATAAAAAATGATGAGTTCATGTCCTTTGTAGGGACATGGACGAAATTGGAAATCATCATTCTCAGTAAACTATCGCAAGAACAAAAAACCAAACACCGCATGTTCTCACTCATAGGTGGGAAGTGAACAATGAGAACCCATGGACACAGGAAGGGGAGCATCACACTCTGGGGCCTGTTGTGGGGTGGGGGGAGGGGGGAGGGATAGCTTTAGGAGATATACCTAATGCTAAATGACGAGTTAATGGGTGCAGCACTCCAGCATGGCACATGTATACATATGTAACTAACCTGCACATTGTGCACATGTACCCTAAAACTTAAAGTATAATTATAATAAAAAAAAAGAAAAATCTGTGTTGAACTTCTAATTTGTGCCTTGTTTTAAGATGGGTCCTAAGGATGCAATGACAAATTTATCAGACACAGGATGTGCCCTCAAAGAACTGAGTCTAGTAGGGAACACAAAAGGAAAGGTAATTATGATTTAGAGATTTGAGTGCTATAACGAGGGTAGACAAGGAGTCCTATGGAAGCAATAAAGGAGCCACATAATCTGGTTGAAGGTTTGCAGAAGGCTTCCTGGAGATTGTTGAATAAATGGACTATCTGAGGTTGAGTAGCCATTACCTAGGTAAAGAAAGATGAGGAGAAAACTTCCCTAGACAGAGGGAAGTTTAAAGATTCAGATGAGGAAAGAAAACTTTGGCACTGTTGAAGAAGTGAAGGAAGCTCATTGTGTGCTCATGTTATGTTTTAAGGGAGAAGCTCACGTTGTGTTTTAAGGGAGAAGTAAGTAAGGTAAAGAAAGAAGTTTCAGATGGTTTGAGATGTAGGAAAAGGGTAGACCATGTAACATATTAGAAAATTTGACATTATTACAGGGACAGAGGAATCACTGAAGATTTCAAAGAAGGAAATTGAATTGATAAGATGTGCTTATTTTAAAATTAAGATCCTATTAGTTATAGGATGTCAAATGGACTGGAAGGGGTAATGTTCAATACACATTCTGCTGCAGTAGTACATGTGGGAAAAAATGAAGGCCAAGACAAGGAGCATGATGGCAAGAATAAAGAAAAGTAAATAAATCTGAGGGAGGTCTGAGCTCATGAAAACTGTTTAGAAAGATGGCAACAGAGAGGTGGGAATCGAGTATGGCATCAACATTTTTGGTTGGAGCCACAGGAATCATTTACTGAAGTATAGAACATAAGAGGACAGGTGAGTTTGGGTAGGAAAATAATAAGCTCTGTTTCATGACTCATGAAAGACCTCCAAAAGGGGATAGATTAAATATCTTCAGTTCCTTCTGCTAGTTATACATTTTTACAATTTTTTTATGTTGATGATGTAGTTGCCTTGTGTCTTGAATAAATCATCCTCTATGCATAAACTTGCATCATCAATGTATTGAGTTTTTGGTAATTTTCTTACTTGCTGGGATCTCTAGTAAGTATTTAGGCTATCTTGGAATTTAGAGTGTTATAATTTAAACAGATTCACACACATTACTCTAAAAGGACATTTAAGTTTTTTAGGCTATAGGGATCTAATGAAAAATAAAATAAAACAGAGTTAACTGGACTTGGAGCTAGAATGACTGTAGGATACATTTTAGTTATGTACTATCACTATAGTTAAAAGTAGTAGGTTATGTACCCAAAAACTGTTTTGCATTGAAATAACTTTGGTATCATCAAGTAATGTAAGGAGCTATCACCATTTCAAATATTCTACTCCACTTTCCCAATAAATACATTTATCTTCACCATTATCTCTATCATCATTATAACCAGCAATTACTGCGCAATTATGCCAGGCACTAAGCATCATCTCAGTAAATCCTCAGAACAATCTTATGAGTTAGGTTCTATATCATGTCCATCTTGCAGGTGAGAAATTTGAATCTTGGAATATTTAAATATATTGTATAAGGTCAGAAGATAATAAGAAGTGGCAACTTAGCTGGGTGCAGTCGCTCATGCCTATAATCTTGGCACTTTGGGAGGCCGAGGCAGGCAGATGACAAGGTCAGGAGTTCAAGACCAGGCTGGCCAACATAGTGAAACCCCGTCTCTACTAAAAATACAAAAAATTAGCTGGGCATGGTGGTGGGCACCTGTAATCCCAGCTACTTGGGAGGCTGAGGCAGGAGAATCACTTGAACCCGAGAGGCGGTGGTTGCAGTGAGTGGAGATTGTGCCACGGTGCTCCAGCCTAGGCGACAGAGTGAGACTCCATCTCAGAAAAACAAAAACAAACAAAAAGAAGTGGCACCTTACTTTAAAACCAGGTCTGTCTATGTGATTTTGTATAAAAATTGTGATAGTCCATGGAAATGTGATGGAAAGAAGCTGTTGTAACTAACAATATATAGGACTTCACTGGTAGTACAGTCTTTTCCATATATACTTAATCATTTAATTCTACCTGTGAGCCAAACATCTGTAAATTGGAGAGGAAACAGTGTCCATTCAGAGGGTCATTGTTAATAATATATGAGTTTTTGTGAGCATTGCCTAATAGAGTTAGTACCATGAGCATGCTAGTTGATATTTATCATCATCATCATTATTCCAAATTTTCATATGAAAAAAGAAGATGAGCAAAGTAACGCTAAAGATCACACAACCCATGATGATGAGAGAGTCAGGACATGAACCTGTCTCTAGCTAGTCATAGTGTTAAATGATCTTTAAACAGAGCTTCATCATAAAGAACTCAGTACTTGAGTGGTAAATAAATGGTACTAAAATCCAAGTTTTATTACTGTTGTGCTGTTTTATTGATGATGACCATATTATAGAGTTATAAAATTGTGTTAAATATATTTGAATATGTATATATTTTCCTATCGACTCCAACTAAGTGCTATGTAACTCTCTGGGTGATTTAAATAGACACTTAGCACATGCTCACACACTTAGTAAAAATGTCCATTTATGAATATGAAATGCAACTAACAGTGAAAGTTCACAAAGCTTTGAGCTTTGTAGAAAAGGGCAGGCATCTGTCTTATAATAATTGGAATTCAAAACACAGTATAGTACAGTTGTCATGCATCTGTTAAAGGGCAAAAATTTATTAGAGCAAATTAGAAATTATAGACATTCTCTTTGGTAAAGTAATCCCTCAATAATATGAAATATCACACGGAGAAAACTGTCAGATGAAGAACAATGATGGCAGACTACAGACAGTGAGAGATCTTTGTGCTCATGCAGTATTTAATATTGTTTGAGGATAATTTTATTACTTTGGTTTTTTCACTCACTAAATATTTCTTACTGCTTACTACATGTCAGGCAGTGTTCTACCTAATGATGATACCCAAACACTCAAAGCTCTTGTCTTTACGGAGTTTACATCTCAATGGTTACTAACTAGCTTTGTCACTTCACCTGTTGTCAACATCCCTAAAATGGGAATAGTACAATTTACCACATGGGTCCTTTGGATAGTAACTAAGAACAACCAGATGTAAAGGCTGCCTATATACTTGCAAAGTGTTGTGCAAGTGTAATATTTGTGTTTTCTTATCTGTAATATGTAGATAAATTTGTTTTCCAAGCTACCTCATAGTTTAGGTTGGAGTAAAAAATACGTGACAATATTACCACTAAATTCTTTACATTTAATATCTAATAAGTTGCAGATGTTATCCCAAATACTTTAGAATGTGTCTTTTACATCTTACAACCTACATAGCAGTAGGTGCTGTGACCACTTTCATTTATTGGGTGAGGAAACTACAGTTTAGAGGGTAAGTACTTGAGATTCGTGAGAGAACCAGGCTTTGAATTCAAGGCTGTCTAATTCCATCTTGTGCTCTTGACCACTAGATTATGCTGACTTATAAAAGAGCTAGAATCATTTCAGAATAAGGGATATTAACATAACTGCACAAAAGTGACATGGTACTTTTGGGTCTTAGTGGTGAGAATTCTTTAAGCTGAATGTGTATAAGGGATCGAGAACAAAACTACAGTTAGGTAGAAGAAATCTTACCTAGTGTTCTCCTAGTGTTCTGTAGCACAATAGGGTGACTATAATTAACTAGAGTTAATTTTATAATTCAAAACAACTAGAATAATGGAATCGGGATGTTCCTAACACAAAGAAATAATAAATGCTTAAGGTGATGAATATCCCAGTTACCATGATTTGATCATTACACATTGTATCCATGTATCAAAATTTCACATGTACCCCATAAACATGTACAACTATTATGTATCTATAAAAATTTAAAATATTTAAAAGCAGAATTAGTATGCTAATGAGACCACACTGCAAAATCAAAGGCTACTGGGCACCATGAACCTTAATTTCTAGCACTAATCACAGCTAAGTTCCTGAATAACTTGGTTATGTCATTTTGTGAAATAAGACTCCCCTCCCTAACCCCACCAACCTGGTTTCCTTTCTGCAAAATGAAAGGGTTTTACTTCCAGAACTGATAGTCTATGATTTTATCAAAAAATCCAACAATAATATAAATACATGGTTTGAAATAGTTGGTATAAAGATATCTACTACAGTGGGATGAGGTCTGTAGTCCCTTTGGCCCCTATCTACAGGAATTTTGGAGGAAGAACCAGGATCAAATGGAGAGCAAGCTGAAGTACTCCAGGGGAACTGTGATAGGGGCAGCAGGCCAAATGCCTGTGTGCAAAGGCTTATTAAACAGGGACTTGAGCTAGGTCAGTCCCCATCCCCAAGAAAACCCCATCTTGATCTTCAATATGGTAGAATCAGTTGGAAATACTGAGTAACCTCTGGAAACTCTGTGGCTGGGGGCTGGATCACAGGCAGTTATAGGGCGATGGTTCAGTTAATGGGGTTTAATCCATGGAGAGTAAAAGCTTCCCAAAGTGAGCTATTAATAATTATAAGGAGTTCCTATGAAGTGCCAGTACTAGTAGAATAACAGAAAAGCCAATTAGAAACAAAGATGTAAGGCTAATTTCTAGAAAAGCCAGCATAGCACTAGTTGGTGGAAGCCGTGGACAGCCCTGTATAGCTTATAAACACAAAGAAGCAAGCAATCTCAGCCCCCATGGGCTGGTATGAATGAAAACCTATCTATCCCCCTACATGGATGAGTACTGTTTTACAGTCTTAATTAGATTGGGACAATTAGCTTCACCTATGCTTTCAATTGAAATTCTAAATCCAGACTCTGGCACTGGATGGCCTGAGTTCAAATTTTGATTCTACCACTGAATAACTGTCTGACCATGGACAAGGTACTCACCCATTCTATACCTTGGTTTCCTCATCTGTAAGATGGGATTAGTAATAAAAATAAGGCAGGGGGATTTCTGCTTCTAGGAAGATGGCATAGATGTACTTTACCTGATTCTTCCCACTAACAACAATTGAAAGTCCTGGCCATTATACTTACAACAAACATAAGGAGGCTCTGAAAGGTGGAGAGAAGGCAGACTGCCAAGGGAACTTGGGACCTGAATAAAACACAATGGTGAATTCCCAGGATTTTATTTTTGCCTCATATAGCTAAGACTTAGAACTGAAAGAGTTGGCAACCTCGAAATGCCAACAAGTGCAGACAAAAAAAAATAAAAAAAAATGAAGAAGCAGAAGAAGCCGCTCTCTCTAGGCAAAGGACAAGGAGAGGGGCAGCCTAGAAAGATAGAATGCTTTTAGGCAATAACTGCTCTACTCCAACCAAATGCCACAGAATAAACAGTGGCCTTCTTTACTTGCCAATGCCAGAAAAGGCCAAGTAGGGACTCAGCATTTTCATCCTCATGAGGTTGTGATGAGGCACAGCAACACTGCCGCTGAGATGATGCCAGAGAAGATTGAATAGGGAGCTGGACCTTTCATCCCGGCTGGCAAGTAACAAGCCTCCACTATTCTACATAGTGTCAGTAGAGGCCCTGAGAGCAGACTGGACTTCCACTACAACCGACATAAACGAAGCATTCTTCTCCCTCTCTGCTGGGAGGAAGCAGAAGCAGAGGGGCCTATTGAAGAGTCAGATCTTTCACTATTTCCCCACGGTTACAAGGCCACCCCCATTCCACCATGGTCTCTGAAAACCACATGATAAGGTAGAAACCCACCCCTGCCTCAGGTGACAATAGAGGCCAAGTAGGGAATTTAGACTTTTTTTTTCCACCTAGAAGTATTGAAGAATTGCCTCCACCTTCATCTACTGTAGCAGTGTCAGAAAAAGCCAGGTACAGCAGAAGGTTTAAATAAGATCCAGGGTTCCAGAAAATATTACAAAAATATCCAAGTTCTCATCAAAAATCACTTGTCATATCAAGAATCAGCAATATCTCATAACTGAATTAAAAATGGCAATCTATAGATGCCAATACCAAGATAACAAATATGTTAGAATTATCAGAGATTTTAAAGCAGCCATAATTAAAATGCTTCAAAGAGTAATTATGAATGCACTTGAAACAAATGAAGAAAATAGAAAAGAAATAGAAATTGAACAAATAAATCAAAGACATTAAAAAGAACCCACTGGGAACTGTAGAACTTAAAAATATAATAACTAAAATAAAAACAACAGAATAGAGGAGACAGAAGAAAGAATAAGTGACCAGGAAGACAGAACAGGAGAAATTTTACAATCAAAACAGAGAACAAACAAACTGAAAGGAAGAAACAGAACTCCAGAGCATGAGACGAAGAAGAGATCTAACATTTGTGTTATCAGAGTGCAGGAAGGAGAGGAAAAAGAAGGCAGGTATGAAAAATACTTAATGAAATAATTGCTGAAAAATTCCCAAATTTGAACTAGACATTAACCTACAGTTAAAAAAAAAAAAAACTCAGTAAAAATGACACAGGCTAAACCCAAAGAAATCTATGCTATGACATATCATAATTACATTTCAGGAAACTAAAAACAAAGAAAAAATTTTTTAAAGCAGGCGGAGAAAAAGGATAACTTACATACTGGGGGCAGCGGTTCAAGTGATAGGGAATTTCTCATCAGAAATCAAAGAGGCAAGAAGAAAAAAGCATAATGTTTTTCAAGTACTGAAAGGAGAGAACCGTCAAGCCAGAATCCTGTGCCCTTCAAAAATATCTTCCAGGAATGAAAAGGAAATCAAAACATTTTCAGATGAAGAAAAACTAAGAGAATTTTTTAGTTTTTAAAATAGTTCCTTTAGGTATTACATAATAGATACATTGATAGATATGAGACAGGGAGAGGGAGAGAGAGAGAGAGAGAGAGAAAGAACAGATAGAGATGAATGGGCAGACACCACACTCATCTGGTATCATCATTTCAGCAATTCAACTGAAGTAGAGAAACCTTCTCTCTCTGTAAGACCTTTTGCCATTCCTCATTTATAATACAATTATCTTAAGTATTTCTACTACATACATGTGGAACCACATCAGACAGTGTTGCAACTTCTGTTTCAGCACTCAACTGTGATTTAGAAAACTCAAGAGAAAAAGGAAAGCATATTGTATTTGTTTATATTTTTGCTCTACACTGTCCTTTGTTCATTTTTGATGTTCCAAAGTTTTCTTTCTATTTAGAGAACATCAGCCTAAGTCTCATCTCACATACAAAAATTTATTCGAAATGTAAAAAATAAAACTATAAAAACTATTAGAAAACAAAAAAGCAGAAGAAAATCTCTGAGGCCTAGGGCTAGTCAAAGTAGGTTTTAGACTTACCACCAAAACATGATCCATAAAAGGAGAAATTGATACATTAGATGTTATCAACATTAAAAACTTTTGCCCTGGAAAATACCATGTTAAGAGAATAATAACAAGCTACATAGTAGGAGAAAATATTTGTAAAGGACAATCCAACATATAACTACTTTCTAAAACTAATATGAAGAACTTTTTTTTTTTTTTTCTTTTTTGAGATGGTGTCTTGCTCAGTAGCCCAGGCTGGAGTGCAGTGGCGCGATCTCAGCTCACTGCAAGTTCTGCCTCCCGGGTTCATGCCATTCTCCTGCCTCAACCACCCGAGTAGTTGGTACTACAGGCGCCTGCCACCACGCCCGGCTAATTTTTTGCATTTTTAGTAGAGACGGGGTTTCACCATGTTAGCCAGTATGGTATCGATCTCCTGACCTCGTGATCCGCCCGCCTTGGCCTCCCAAAGTGCTGGGATTACAGGCGTGAACCACCGTGCCTGGCCCTAAAGCTAGTATGAAGAACTCTTAAAACCCAATAGTTAAAAACTAAACAATGCAATTATAAAATGGGCAAAATACATTAAGCAACATTTCACGAAGGAGGATATACAGATGAAAAATAAGCACATAAGAGGGTGTTCAGCATCATTAGCCATTAGGGAAATGCAAATTAAACCATAATGAATATTACTACACACCTATCAGAATGGCTAATTTTGTTTTTAAAGTGACAACTCCAAATTCTGAAGAAGATGTGAAGAAACTGGATTACTGACACATTACTGGTAGAAATGGGAAATGCACCGTCACTCAGGAAAACTATTAAAAAAAGAAACTCAACATGCTTCTATAATTTAGCCCAGCAATTACACCCTGGAGGCTTATCTGAGAGAAATAAAAACTTAAATTCACACAAAAACCTGTACATATAGCAGCATTGTTCCTAATAGTCAAAAACTGGATGTCCTTCAATGGGTAAATGGTTAAACAGACCGTGGAACATCTGTACCATGACATAATACTCAGCTATTAAAAAGAACAGACTGTGAGAGAGACACACAACAATCTGCATGAACCTCTAGAGAATGTACTCACTGAAAATAGCCAAACACAAGGGGTCACACACTCTACGATTCCATTCACATCACATTCTTGAGATGAAAAACAACAGAAATGAAGGAAAAGTTAATATTAGTGTTTCCCAGTGGCTAGGAAGAGGTTAGCAGGAAGGAATTTGGTGCGGTTATAAAAGGACAACATGAGAGATCCTTGTGATGATGGAGATGTCCTATATTTTGGCTGTATCAATGTCAATATCCTGGTTAAGACATCGTATTACAGTTTTGCAAAATGCTACTGTGTCCGGAATTGGTGGGTTCTTGGTCTCACTGACTTCAAGAATGAAGCCGCGGACCCTCCTGGTGAGTGTTACAGTTCTTAAAGGCAGCGTGTGCGGAGTTTGTTCCTTCTGATGTTCAGATGTGTTCGGAGTTTCTTCCTTCTCATGGGTTCGTGGTCTTGCTGGCTCAGGAGTGAAGCCGCGGACCCTGGCGGTGAGTGTTAGAGCTCTTAAGGCGGCGCATCTGGAGTTGTTCGTTCCTCCCGGTGGGTTCGTGGTCTCGCTGGCTTCAGGAGTGAAGCTGCAGACCTTTGCCGTGAGTGTTACAGCTCATAAAGGCAGTGTGGACCCAAAGAGTGAGCAGCAGCAAGATTTATTGAAAAGAGCAAAAGAACAAAGCTTCCACAGTGTGGAAGGGGACCCCAGCGGGTTGCCACTGCTGGCTCTGGCTGCCTGCTTTTATTCTTTTATCTGGCCCCACCCACATCCTGCTGATTGGTCCATTTTACAGAGAGCAGAGGGGTCTGTTTTGACAGGGCGCTGATTGGTGCGTTTACAATCCCTGAGCTAGACACGAAAGTTCTCCACGTCCATACTAGATTAGCTAGATACAGAGTGTGGACACAAAGGTTTTCCAAGTCCCCACCAGAGTAGCTAGATACAGAGTGTGGATTGGTGCATTCACAAACCCTGAGCTAGACACAGGGTGCTGATTGGTGTGTTTACAAACCTTGAGCTAGATACAGAGTGCCCAGTGGTGTATTTACATTCCCTTAGCTAGACATAAAGGTACTCCAAGTCCCCACCAGACTCAGGAGCCCAGCTGGCTTCACCCAGTGGATCTGCACCAGGGCCGCAGGTGGAGCTGCCTGCCAGTCCCGCGCCATGCGCCTGCACTCCCCAGCCCTTGGGTGGTCGATGGGACTGGGCGCCCTTGAGCAGGGGTCGGCGCTCGTCGGGGAGGCTCGGGGCGCATGGGAGCCCACGGATGGGGGGAGGGTCAGGCATGGCGGGCTGCAGGTCCCGAGCCCTGCCCCGCGGGGAAGCAGCTAAGGCCCGGCGAGAAATCGAGCGCAGCGCCGGTGGGCCGGCACTGCTGGGGGACCCAGCACACCCTCCGCAGCCGCTGGCCCGGGTGCTAAGCCCCTCACTGCCAGGGGCTGGCGGGGCCGGCGGGCTGCTCCGAGTGGGGGGCCCGCTGAGCCCACGCCCACCCGGAACTCACGCTGGCCTGCAAGCACAGCTTGCAGCCCCAGTTCCCTCCGGTGCCTCTCCCTCCGCACCTCCCCGCAAGCTGAGGGAGCCGGCTTTGGTCTTGGCCAGCCCAGAAAAGGGCTCCCACAGTGCAGCGGCGGGCTGAAGGGCTCTTCAACCACGGCCAGAGTGGGTGCCCAGGCAGAGGAGGTGCCCAGAGCGAGCGAGGGCTGTTAGGGCTGCCAGCACGCTGTCACCTCTCACTACCATTGAAGAAAATTGAATGACAGGTACAGGAATCTCTTATTAGACTTATGTCTTACAACTGAATATGAATATGTAATTATTTAAAAATAAAGTTAAATTTAACAAAATTACCCACCTCAAGGTTATGATTGTAAAGATTAAATTAATTATTCTTGGAAAGTCACAGTACTGATTACATAGGTCTAAATAACTATAAGCTATTTTAATTTTCATATAGTTTACTATATCAGTAAATGGAAAAGTGGAATAAAGCTAAGAGTATCCAGAAATATTTTCTAGAAATGTTTTAGTAAGATAGGGGATATGTATCATAAGAGTTAGTAAATGCTGTTATAGAATTGAGTCAGTTTGTTTATATTTGTTTCTTTCCATTCTGCACCATTCCATCAATAAAGAGTCATTCACTGAGCAGCTATTATATGTTAGGCCATCTGTTACGATTTTATATAAGATAACAGTCTTACTATGGGGGAACTTATTTATTTATCAAAGTGTGTGTGCATGTGACTGTCAGGGGCCTGGGGAAGAAAGGTGTGTGTGTTCTCAGTACTTAAGCAACATCAGTGAACACGACAGACAGAAATCGCTGCCCTAGAGAAATTTTCATTCCGGTGCCCCTGTTCACAGATTAATGGGGAAAATATACAAGTAAAACATAAATTACATTATAGCCTAGCAACAGGTGCATATAGAAGGGAATATGAAGGAATGATTTACCACCTCTGATGTTGGAAACTGGCCGGGACAGCATAGGTTCCTGATAGTGTCTTTGAAGGATGTATAGAACTTTACTAGGTAGTCTAAAGAAGGGACAGACTTTTGGAGTAGAACAGGTAACATGTGCAAAGCCACAGTTACGTAAGGGTCAACACAAAGTCAGAGCAGACAATCAAAGACAAAAGCCAGGAGAGATGCCAACAGGAGAAACAGAGAGAGGGGAGAGAAAAGCAAAGTAATAAACCAAATATTGGAGAGCCTTGAAGGTCAACTCAAAAGAAGACATTTTAAATTGATTTAGAAGGCAATGTAGAGGCAATGGAGCAAGTGTGGCAGGAATTGGCCAGCCACTATCAAAAAAGCTATCAAAATGTTTGGGCATGATTTGTTCTTAATAAACCTGTGGTACTCTAAGCCTGGGATTCCATTGTCCTCGGAACGGTCATAGATTTTGTTGGTTGGTAATTTTCCATTAGCTCCCTAATTACTGATGCACTCCAGGAGACATTCTCTTAGACAGACACCCACCTGATTATGAGAGACTTCAGCTGATTTATGGTGTTTGTGAATGTCCTCTGCCTCTGTTTCTACCCTGATACATAGGGGACTTTTATTTATTTATTTATTTATTTATTTATTTATTTATTTTTGCAAATCATAGAAAAAAATATTAGAAAAGCTGGCATTTGGAATAGGTTCATTTTAGAAATATTTCTTATTTTTCCTTGCATGTTAGGCTTTGTATTCATTTCAGGCTGCAGTGTTCTGCTTTTGTGGATGCCTTTCAGCAAAGTTTTCTGAATGTTGGAAATCCTCACTGTGTGTGTGTGTACGTGTGTGTGCATGTGTGTGTGCATGTGTGCACGTGCACATTTTAAGTGAATTACTCCAAATTCTAACATTTTTTCATAAGCTGCCAAATTCATTTGTTCATTCCTCATTCACAAGCAGTTTTTAAGCACCTACTAAGTGTTGGATACTATGTTACATACTCACAATACCCTAGTAGAGGGTGAAGTTTCTATTTTCAAAAAGTGCACAGTCCTGTGAAAAGAAAGACCAGGAAATCTGATATGGTATGTGCTATAATAGATCTTAATTCAATATGTTTCATGAAGGTAGACCTGGATACTTTCTTAAAACGAGGGCATTAGAGCGATTGCTTTGGAGGAGGTAAAATCTCAATTTGCCAGGCGATGAGGAAGAGGACAGGCATTCTGGGTCTTCTTGGCATGCTGCTGCAAAGACAGAGAGGCCTAAGAGAGCTTGGTCATTCACAAATCCATGAGAAGGATCTGGCTGATATGGCTGAATGTGGGTGTGAGGGAGGAAGTGATGAAAATAAGCTTAAGAAGGAGGTAAGGATTAGGTCCCCAAGAAAAGTATATTCTTCTCTAAGGAGTTTGGACTTTATCCAAGGAAATGAATAATGACTCTGGCAGGGAGTCATTCTGGTTAGTTAGGTGTTAGGGCAATCACCCTGCACCTCCACCTTTCCTCTGATCAACCTGCATTCTCCTATGCACACCTCTCATCAGCAACCAAAGCTAGATCTCCCAGGTAACAAGGTATCAGTCTCTTTGTATTCCACCAAACTTCAGCTTCCCTCCCAGTGAGCAGCTTCTGAGCTCCTGCTGATTGTAGAGCCGGGAGATTCTGAGCTGCTGATTGATTTGATTTCATTCCACTATAGTGCATGTAATTTCATGCTTCCAAGTGAAAGAAATTTTCTGGAAATTATTCAATCTCCCTAAATTACTTAGCTTTATATATTTATTCCCAGCTTCACTGGACTCTAAATAACCCAGTTTGGGAGAAAATGCTTGGCATGTGAAGCTCTGGTCATCAAGATTCAACAATTACTTTGATTAGCTCTCTCAAACTGTTAGAAACTGCCCCAGTGGAAAGAAAAAAGAGTAAAGCTGGGGGTTTGTTATCAGACCAAAAAGTGCTGCTTGCGGGAGATGTTTCTACAGCCTTCTGCAAGGAAAGTAGGGGCTTATTCTTATTAATAAGAAAGAAAAATACATTTTAGGAGTAAAGTGGCAGGCTGCCCCAAGGACATGGCCCTTCTTTTCATAGATAGATAGATGATAGATAGATAGATAGATAGATAGATAGATAGATAGATAGATAGCTTTTAAATAAAATAATACATGTATTAATAACACTTAAAAATAATAACTGGCTGGTGTGGTGGCTCACACCTGTAATATCAGCATTAGGGGGAGGCTAAGGGGGGAGGATTGCTTGAGCCCAGGAGTTCGAGACCAGCCTGGGCAACAAAGTAAGACCTCATTTCTATAAAATAAAAATAAAAGTAAAAATAAAAACAGAACAGAGAAATCATTTAAGGAAACACTTTACCAATTCACATCATTGTTAATATTTTCAAGAACATCTTTTAAGATATCTATGTATGTATAAACAATGATAGAGAATTTTAGCAAGTAAAACCACTTTTACATGCTGTTTTTTTTAAAATAAAACTTTGTTATTTTATAATAGTTTTGTATTTACTGAATAGTACAGAGAGTTCCTATATATCCCACACCTAGTTCCCTCTATTTTTAAAATCTGATTTTTAGTATGGTACATTTGTCACAATTAATGAACCAATATTGATATATTATTATTAAATAAAGTCCGTACTTTATTCAGGTTAACTTAGTGTGAGAGTGAGTTTGTTTACTTAATGTCCTTTTTCTGTTCTAAAATTTCATCCAGGATACAGCACATTTACTCATCATATTTCCTTAGTTTCCTTTTGGCTAAGACAGTTTCTCAAACTTGGGAAATCTTGACAGTTTTGAGAAATTCTGGTCAGATGTTTTGTAGAATGTCCCTCAGTCAGCATTTGTCTGATGTTTTCTCATAATTAGATTGAGGTTATGGGTTTGGAGAATGAAGCACAGAGGCAAAGTGCTATTTTCACCATATTATGCCCAGAGTATATAATATTGACATGACTTATTACTGTTGATGCTAACCTTGATCACCCAGGTAAAATAGAATTTGTTAGGTTTCTCTATCATCAAGTTATTCTTCCCCACCCCTTTTCATATTATACTCATTGGAGGGAAATTATTTACACAGCCCACACTAGGGAATCGGAGGTTTATCTCCCCCTCCTTTAGGGTCTAACATTTGCATAAATTATGTGAAGTTCTACATCTGAGAGGCGTATTTCTTCTTCCTTATGAATCGCTTATTTATAGTGTTATAGGGTTATGGATATTTATTTTATACTCTGGATCATTATCCAACACGACTTTATATTTGTTTTGTTGCTCAGATTGTTCTCACTTTGGCCATTGAGAGACCTGTGAGTTGGCTCTTGTGTCCTTTGACATATCTCGCCAGTGCAGAGTGCAGGTGGTGTGTGCATGTGTGTGTGTGTGTGTGTGTGTGTGTCTGTGTGTCTGTGTTTGAGCACTTCCCTTCTGGTTCTACAAGATGCCCTAAGCTCATTTTGTATAATTCCAGCCACAGGCATAGAGTTGGTTATTTCTCCAAAGGGTCCTGATTCCTTTTATTGGAGAAATAGTTTTATAAACTGGGATCTGAGCACTTGGTATGCTTGTTGCTGAGATGTCATTGCTTCTAGACTTTTCCAGCTAACAGAGCAAATATATAAATATATGTGTGTCTATTAATCTATGTATCTGTAAATATTTCCATATGTAACTACTTATATTATCCATAGCAAAACATAAGTTTATACTGATGCCTCAAACTCTAATTCATTGCCACATATATCATTATAGCTCCTACTTTTGCTTATTTGTGGCCCCCCACTCTAACAGTGAGAAACCCAGCTCCCATTCTTTGCAATCCATTTACTTAAATGTTCAGTTCCAGTATACAGGCACAGTGATTTCAGAACTGTGGATCCCCCCAAGTGAAATAACTTTATTAACTAGAATATAGCACTTATGTATAATTCATTTTATCTGTTATTTCCTAAATAAAAATAAGTATGTTGAAGATATTCTTTTAAGATAATGAATAGAGATGGAGACCTATCGTATTGTTTCAATATTTATTTGTAGGCTCTGTTTGAGTAGATTGTGTTACGTCTTGTAGGTCATTGTCATGATTTTGGCATTTTTTTCCTTAATGAGTTGATGTGATGGTTCATTTTAGATATCCACTTGATTGGATTAAGGAATACCTAGATAATCAATGAAGTATTATTTTCTGGTGTATTAGTGAGCGTATTTCCAGAGGAGATTGCTATGAGAGTCTGAGTGGACTAAGTGGGAAAGGTCTGCCCTCCATATTGTCAAGGACCATCAGATGGGCTGGGGGGCTTGGATAGAACAGAGGAAAGGTGAATTGCTTTCTCTCTTCTGAAGTTGAAACATACTCTTCTCCTCCACCCTTGAATATTAGGATCCCAGGCTCTCCAGTCTTGAGACTCCAAGATTTATGTCAGCAACCCCTTTCCCCTGGGTTTTTAGGCCTTTGGCCTTGGACTGAGAATTATACACATTGGCTTCCCTGATTCGGAGGCTTTTGGATTTGGAGTGACTCACACTACTGACATCCCAATATTTCTCACTTGAAGACAACCTATCATGGGATTTTTCAGCCTCTATAATCACGTAAGTCAATTCCCCTAATAAATCCCTTCCTATCTGTCTGTCTGTCTGTCTGTCATCTATCTAGTCTCCTTTCCTGTTAATTATCTCAGAAGAACTCTAATACAGAGGCAAAAATACTGTAAAAAGTGAGTGTCCAGTAAAGATTTTAAGGTCAATCTGGCTGTTATATTTGAAACAGACTGAAATGAGGTAAGGAAGAAGCCAAAAGACCAGTAGAAGTCTATTGCCTCCTCCAGCCAAAAGATGATAGCAACTTAGGCCAGGGTAGTAACGGTAAATTATTGAGAAGTGGTCATATTTTAAAGATTAAGCCAACAAAATGTGATGATAGATTGACAAAGTGTATTAGAGGAATAGAAACATCAAGGAAGACCTTGACTTTACTCACCAGAAAGATAAGGGTATCAGTGCTTACATGGGGAAGCCAGGAGGGAAGGTAGGATGTGTTGTTTTATCTTGTTTTGTTTTGGTGGAAAGTGGTAATGATCAAGAAATAAGTTTTTGGCATGCTAATTTTGAGATATTATTTTATACACTCAAGAAGATATAATCATTAACCAGTGGATGGCCACAAGATAGATGAAGTGAGGCCACAAGTACTCAAATAATTTACTTTATTTACATTGACTAAGAATACATTAATGAGCCACTGAAAGAGTCTTAAGAGCTAGAATGTTCCTCATTTCATAGGCTCAGCAACTCAGTTCCTCTCCTCTTTATCATAACATCATTTTACCTTTGTGTAAAATTTATCCCAGTTCGTTTCCAGACTGTCCCTCAAGGTGTACATACTGAGACCACATGTCACCCAGAGGCTCATCTTGTGATAGTGTCATGATGAGGTGGAGTCCCGTAACTGAGGCATCTGGGAGTGCTGCTGATACAACTTAGCTTCATTTGGAGATATTTTTCCTTATAGTTGAATGGCTTGTCTGTTATTTGCTCATCTCATACTGTAAGATCCTTGGCCATTTTATTTTGTCTGTTTTTTTTCAGTGTCATTGATAAATACATTCTGCTTTCATTAACTAATATAATATTTTTCCTCCTCTAAAATAGATTTTGCTTCAGGTCTATTTTGCATAAACCATACCTGATATATGAGGATATAGGGTTTTTTTTTCAATGATCTATTTAATATTTAACACTTGTTAACTTTGGGCATACCATATGACCACTCTGGCCTCAGGATTCTCATGTGTTAGATAGTGTTGATGGCAGTACCCTGCCCAACTACAAGAGTACTAATGGCAATTCATATTTTATTTTGATATTTTCTGATGACTTATACATCTGTCATCTAATTTTTGCTCTAATTCTGTGTGATAGGTATAAATATCCTAGTTCAAAGTAAGAAAACCATGACTCTGAGAGAAACTTACACAAGGGCAATCAGTTATTCAGTCAACAAACATGTGTTCATGCACATTAATATGCCAGGAGCTGTTCAAGGTGCCAGTGATAAATAAATAATAGCAGAGGCTCACCCACTGCCATGTTTGCATATGGTAAAGAACCCAGGTACATATAGAACAAATTTAAATGCAATATGCAAAGCACCTAGCAGTCTATTTAACAAAAATTTTGTAAAGATTTGAGTAATATGAAAGGGTCCTTGTACCAATCAAGTAGAATATACTCAATAAATTTCAGCCAGTACAAGCAAGTGTCATTTAAGTAGTAGCATTTGAGGTAAGTATACTTATACCAATTATCATTTATAGAGTACCTACTAGGTTCTGTCAGTATTTTCAAATATTATTTTAGTTGGAATTCTTTAATTACAGCAATAGACACTGAGAAGTTGACTTATGCAGGGAAGGGAAGAATTCATTATAAAGGATACAGAGCTATCTTGTGAAATCAGCTCAAGGGCACCAGGCAGTCAAGCCTCACAAAACCGGCAGAATCAGGAGAGGGGAAAGTATATGGAATGCAGAGTCTTTTTTCCTCCAATTCTGTCTCATTTTCTCTCTGCACATCTGTGCCATTGCATTTATTTATTTATTTATTTATTTATTTATTGCATGTTAACTTTATCTGCTACTTGGTCCAAATTCTTACATTTGACCAAAGAGTAGAAAATATCCACTGTTTACCTCTCTAATTTTCGTTTAGGTTTCTGTTGATGCTATTGTTGTGTCTGTGTGGGTTTTTGTTTTGTTTTGTTTTGCTTTTAGTTTTGTTTGTTTTGTATATCCCTCCATTCAAAGATGAGTCCAGAATAAATTGACATATAACAGGCTCAATTCAAAACTCCTGATGAATGGCTCCTGAGTGGCCCAGTTTAAGGTCCACTCAGCTGTATTCTCAGTACACATAAGCTACGAAAACTTTACCTCCATGAAAAACTATTTCCTAAAGAGAAAGAGAAAACAATTTTAAAAGAAGGATGCATCATTATGAACTAAACACACATCTGCTGTTATGGTTTGGATGCGTCCCCACCCCAAATCTCATCTTGAATTGTAATCCCCATAATCCCCATGTATCAAGGGCAGGACCCGGTGAAGGTAATTGGATCCTGGGGGCAGATTCCCCCATGCTGTTGTGGTGACAGTGAGTGAGTGTCATGAGATCTGATAGTTTTATAAATGTCTGGCATTTTCCCTGCTTGCACTCACTCCTTCCTATCACCCTGGGAAGAAGATGCCCGCTTCTCCTTTGCCTTTCGCTGTGGTTGTAAGTTTCCTGAGGTCTCCCCGGCAATGCAGAACTGTGAATCAATTAAACCTCTTTCCTTTATAAATTACCCAGTCTAAGGGCAATCTTTATAGCAGCATGAGAACAGATTAATATGCATGCAAAGGGTATATAGTATCTCTAGGCCCTAGAAGACCCCTGCAAGGTAGAAATATAGGAAGCACTTCCATTTCACAGATACAGAAAATGAAAAGTCTTGAATTTATTCATTAAATAATTATTGAGTGCCAACGATATACAAGACAGAGGGCTATGTGATGAGAAATGACAGTTTTTACCTTACAAAGATTGCTTTCTATTAGAGATTACAGTCATCAGATAAATTATTACATAGCAAATATTTAATTTCACTTTTAATGAGTTCTACAAAGAAGGACAGAGTATTTGAGAACACATCACAAGGGAAATGGACCTATTCTAGAGGGATTGTAGGAGCATGAAAAAATATTACCCTTTGGAAGTGAATTTGAGTTGAGTTCTACATAAAAGTTGAGTAGCAATTAATTAAAGGCTGAGTAATGTGTCAGGAAGCTCTCCAGATAGAACAAATGGCATGAAAAGCTGGAAAAGCCACATGGCCAGTATGGACAGAGTCCTAAAATGGAGATAGAGAGAATGGTGTATAATTAACAGCTGAAGTAGGCAGGGACTAGATCTGATGGGATTATGAGTAGTTTAAAGAATTTGTTCTTTGTCTTAAGTGCAATGAATACCTATCTTTGAAGTCTTTAAATGAGAAGAGTAACATGGTCAATTTTTGTGTTTTAAAAATGTCACTTGGACTTTAGTGTAGGAAATGAATTAAAGGAAGACAAGAATTGATGTGGAGAAAATAATTCAGAGACTGTTTCAGTGGCCTAGAAAAAAAGAGAATGGGATCTAGAATGATGGAAATGAGTAATAAGGGGTCAGAATACCATAGATCCTCTTCTCTATTCCAGTTTGTCTTTGTGAAGATAGTTCATTATGATAGACCAAGCAAAAGCCACTCAGATACAAGAGCAATGATTGAGCTGAAACTTAAATCTAGTTTGCCTAAATCCAAATGTCACCCCATCTTATGTGGTCAGGACATGTTTGAGATAATATCTATTTTATTATTTATTTTTATAGGATGATGTGGACCTAGTGGAAAGGCAAATAATATAGCAGCACAATGTTTAATAATAGTGAATCAGGAAGGAAAGAAAAATTGTCTCCTGGGACAGAAAATGTTGAATTCAAATTTAAAAGACAAAGTATTTTGCATTGCTTCAATATTCTCTTCCTTGCTGCTTTCTTTACTTGGCCATGAAACATTATGTATACACACAGATTCTTTGTAAAAGAGATACCACTGTTTTTTCTACTCAAAGGGAACTTTCTCTTTAGCTTAAAAAAAAGGTGCAGATGAAACACTGAGAAAAAAAATTATTCACCAGCCTACAGAAAACCCAGGAGCAGGCAGATGCGGGAGCATGTGCTGTATCTTTTATTTTGTAGCAATAGCCAAGGTTTTCATCTCTGCAGGGGTCTGTTCAGAAAATCCCCTGATCTTTAATGAAAGCTATCCCACTCCTGAACCCACTATTAGAGGAAAGCTGGTAAAGATGAAACTGTAGCCCCAAGAGACCAAGAAATGGAAATCCTGAATACCCCAAATGCTTACTCTTCCCTTGGAAGGCAGTGACATATATTGGTTATGTGACCTTGAGCAAATTACTTAAGCTCTACATGCCTTAGTTTCCTCATCTATAGAATGGGGATAAAAATGATACTTTCCTTATAGGGTTATGTTAAAAATATAACAGGTACCAAATGAATAATTGTTGACATGGGGAGAATATTATTTTGAAACTGTTGATTATTTCATAGCTCAGGAAATGATGGAGGGAAATGTAATATCTTAGAGATGAGCTCCTGTCTCTTAGATGAATTCATGAGTCACACAGAATTCATAATCCATATAATTCACTACATAAAAAATACCATATCTCTAAGGAAAAAGATAATTAAGAAGTGGCCAAAAATCCCCCCTCTTCCCTTTCTCTCTTGACTCATTTCAATCAGATATCCATCTCCACCTTTCCATCAAAATAGTTCCTGCCAGCCTGCCAGTGTCACCAATAACTGCAATATTGATAAACTCCAAGGTCGTTCCTTGGTCCTCATCTTACTTTATCTATCAGCAGCAGGTGACACGGCCATTTCTCTCTCCTCCTTGAAACATTTCCTCCATTAGTCTTCTAGTTCATCCTTCTCTCTGTTCTTTTCTTCATTCGCTTTCTTCACTTGCTCATCATCATCCCCCAGACCTCTAAAAGTGGGGATGTTTTAGGACATACTTCTCACTTTTATTCCACTTTCCATCTGTGGTTTCCCCTAGCTGATGTCATTCCATTACATGGTCTTAAATAGGATTTATAACACTAAATGGCTTTATATCCCTAGGTGAAGTCTCTCATCTGCAGTCCAGACTTGTGCATTCAACTGCTTATTTGACATCACCACTTGTACAATTTGCTGTCTGATAGACTTCTCAAAATTAAGAGTCCCAGAATTGAACTTCCTATTTCTACCACCTCATAACCTGGCCTATGCTACTGTCTATCCACTCTTAGAAAATGACAACTTTATCCTTCCAGTAGTTCATGCAGATTCTTTGGAGTTATCCTCAATTCTTCTTTTTCTCTCTTATTCCATCCATCAGTTAATCCTGGTATTTCTTGCTATAAAATATATCTGCTTCTCATCAACTTTACCTCTGCTATTCTGGACCAAGCCAATGTAAATTTTTCCCTTGATCAGTTGAAGAGTCTCTTAACCTGTCTCCTTATTTCCACTTTGCCTCATTCTATCTTCAACACAACATAATAATCCCTTAAAATGTGAAGTCCTCTCCTCAGATTTCTCTAATACCCATTCATTTCACTTAGAGTGGATGTCTGAGGTGACTTCTGTGGTTCTCAGTTGTCCCAGACTGTAAAAGAAGTATAGCATCAGCATTTGCTTCTTTTGAGGCCTTATCAGAAGAGCACTCTGTGCTTCAGCACTTCTACTTCTCACCCCTCTGCATCTCCTCCTTATCCTTCCCTGCTCATCCTGCTCCAGCCATACTGGTCTCCTTCGCCTACCTATGCCTCAAGGCTCTGAGTTCTTTCTGCTTGAATTTTCCCTCAAGCCCTTCATATGACTTACTGTCAACTTGGCTGTAGATTCCTAAATCCCTAAGTATGGCCTGCTCTAACTACCCTAAATAAAATAATGCATTCTTCCTAACCTAGATGCCACTCCTGTATATATTTTTATACAGGATATTTTTAGCATTCCAGGTATTGAATAGACATTGATGTGTTTCTTCCATTACTAGGGTATTAGGTTCATGAGGGCTGAGACTTGGTTCACTACCTCTTCCTGTAGTCAGTAGGTCAATGCCTGATACATGGAAAGCACATAAACAAATATTTGTTAAACGAATGAATGAATGAATAATGCGATTCCTGCTCTTATAGACCTCACGGGTTTTGTTCAATAAGTTCAATCAATATTTGGGCACTTAATCCATGCCAGGTCTGGTTCTTGGAGCTGGGGATGTGTAAATGAAGGAAATGTGCCTTTTTCCCTCTGGGAACTGTCAGCTTGCTGGATGAGATGGATAATTGTGTTGGCCTAGGTGCTCATTCTTCCACTAACAGCACCAAAAATGTAGGGCCTGAGAAATGGCTTACACATAGCACTTATTTTATGACGTTACCCAGTGAAAAGGGGGTAGAGTACTGGGAAATGAAAGAAGGGGAAACAAAAGCTAATAGGAGTGTGTGGTGTTAAGCTGATTGCCCTGTGGGGAAATTGAGCTGAAGTCCACTCTGCCCTTCTGAGGAATGGTGTAGAAAGCATCTCAGAATGATGAACTGGGAAGCAAAGGAAGAGTGCTCATCATTCACCAGTTCCCCTTCTCTCACTGGTTGAAGGTTATTCCATGGCAGGTTAACTCCGTCATGCTTCCAGGGTGTACATGTGTATTAGTCCATTCCCATGCTGCTAATAAAAACACACCCAAGACTGGATGATTTATAAAGGAAAATGTTTCAATTGACTCACAGTTCCACAGGGCTGGGGAGTCATTTGGAAACTTACAATTATGGCAGAGGAGAAGCAAACACATCCTTTTTCACATGGCAGCAGCAAGGGGAAGTGCTGGGCAAAACAGGGGAAAGCCCCTAAAAAAACTATCAGATATCATGACAACTCACTCACTATCAGGAGACCACCATGAGGGTGACTGCCCCCATGATTAAATTACCTCCCATTGGGTCCCTCCCATGGCATGTGGTGATTATGGGAACTACAATTCAAGATGAGATTTGAGTAGGGACAGAATGTCCAACCATATCATTCTGCCCCAGCCCATCCCAAATCTCATATCCTTACATTTCTAAACCCAATCATGCCCTTCCAATAGTCCCTGAGTCTTAACTCATTCCAGCATTAACCCAAGGGTCTAAGTCCAAAGTCTCACCTGAGACAAGGCAAGTCCCTTCCATCTATGAGCCTGTAAAAGCAAAAGCAAGGTAGTTACTTCCGAGATACAATGGGGGTACAGGCATTGGGAAAATATGTCCATTCCAAATGAGAGAAATTGGCCAAAACAAAGGGACTGCAGGCCCCATGCAAGACCAAAATCCAATAGGGGAGTTATTAAACCTTAAAGTTCCAAAATGATCTCCTTTGACTCCATGTCTCACATCCAGGTCATGCTGATGCAAGAGTACTCCCACAGCCTTGGGCAGCTCCACCCCTGTGGCTTTGCAGGGTACAACCCCACTCCTGGCTGCTTTCACAGGCTGGTGTTGAATGTCTGCATCCTTTCCAGGCACATGTTGCATGCTGTTGGTGTATCTACTATTCTGGAGTCTGGAGGATGGTGGCCCTCTTCTCACAGCTTCACTAGACAGTGCCCCAGGAGGGACTCTGTGTGGGGGCTTTGACCCCACAATTTCCTTTCTTCACTGCCCTAGCAGAGGTTCTCCATGAGGGCTCCATCCGTGCATCAAACTTCTGTCTGGGCAACCAAATGTTTCCATACATCCTCTGAAATCTAGGTGGAGGTTCCCAAACCTCAGTTTTTGACTTATGTGTACCCGCAGGCTCAACACAATGTGTAAGCTGCCAAGGCTTGGGGCTTGTATTCTCTGAAGCAATGGGCTGAGCTGAATGTTGGCCCCTTTTAGCCATGGCTGGAGCTGAAGCAGATGGTACACAGGGCACCAAGTCCTGAGGCTGCAGGGGGACCCTGGGCCTGGTCCATGAAAGGATTTTTCCCTCTTAGGGAAAAATGGCCTGGAGACATTTTCCCCAATGCCTTGGTGGTTAACATTTGGGTCCTCATTACTTATGTAAATTTCTGTAGCCAGCTTGAATTTCTACTCAGTAAATGAGGTTTTCTTTTCTATCACATAGTCAGGCTGCAAATTTTCTAAACGTTTATGCTGTGCTTCTTCTTGAATGCTTTGCCACTTAGAAATTTCTTCCACCAGATGCCGTAAATCATCTCTCTCAAGCTGGGAGTTCCACAGATCTCTAGGGCAGTGGCAAAATGCCAGCAGTCTCTTTGCACAGCAAGAGTGACCTTTACTCCAGTTCCCAAAAAGCTCCTCATCTCTAAGATCGCCTCAGCCTGGACTTCCATTGTCCATCCATATCACTATCAGCACTTTGGTCAAAGCCATTCAACAAATCTCTAGGAAATTCCAAACTTTCCCACATCTTCCTATCTTCTTCTGAGCCCTCCAAATTGTTCCTACCTCTGCCTCTTACCCAGTTCCAAAGTCACTTCCACATTTTCAGATATTTTTACGGTAACACCCCACTACCTGGTACCAATTTACTGTATTAGTTTCTTCTCATGCTGCTAATAAAGACATACCGAGACTGGGTAATTTATAGAGGAAAGAAGTCTAATTGATTCACAGTTCCACAGGGCTGGGGAGGCCTTAGGAAACTTACAATCATGGCGGAAGGGAAAGCAAACACATCCTTCTTCACATGGAGGCAGCAAGGAGATGTGCCGAGCAAAACGGGGAAAAGCCCCTTATAAAACCATCAGATTTCATGAGAAGTCACTATCATAAGAACACTATGAAGGTAACTGCCCCCTTGATTAAATTACCTCCCACTGGGTTTGTCCCACAACGTGTGGGGATAATAGGGACTATAATTCAACATGAAATTTGAGTGGGGACACAAAGCCTAACCATATCAGCATGTGTGAGTGGCATGATGATGGATATTTGTCCCCTGTAAATCTGATGTTGAAATGTAATCCCCAATGTTGGATGTAGGGGGTAGGAGCGCTGATTTAAGTCATGGAGGCAATGGTTCCTTACCATTACCATATGGTAATTTGTTACATTAGCCCAAACTGACTAAAACAGACTTCGATGTGTGTAGCCATTATAAGCAAACTGAGTGGCTTATTTCTCATGGTTCTGAAAATTAGAAATTCTGATGTCAAGGTGACTGCCTAATTGGGTTCTTGATGAGGGCTCTCTTCCCAGTTATGCCCTCATATGCCTTTTCCCTGGTGCATGCATACCCAGAAAGCAACTTCCTATCTCTCTTTTCATAAAGGCATTAATCCCATCATGAGATCTCCACCCTCACAACATCATCTCACTCTAATTACTCCCCCAAAGCCCTACCACCAGGTACTATCATAGTCAGGATTAATTTCAACATATATATATTTGGTGGGGGTGGGGGCAGTGGTAGAAACATTCAGTCCATAGCAAAGCCTTTGCCAATCTCTTCCTTTTTTCTTTATCAGACTGCAAAGGTATAATGTAAACATAGGTAAAAGATGGTACTGGGTGTAGTAGCTACTCAAAACTGATTCTGAAGGTATTGGATTATAAGCCTAGCTTAGAAAGGAAAGACAAATTAAGGTTTGAGGACCAGAGAACACATCACATGAGTGCCTACGAGTTACAGAGACAGTGAGGGACACTAATGATGGAAACACGAATGACTTATGGTCCCTATCCTCAAGAAGTCTTACATGTGGAGGGAGCATCTTGCTAAATAATCAGTTGAGTAATATGATTGAGACATTGGAGAAAAGATAATGATGTATTTTAATTCCATAAAAACTTTTTTAAATTATTTGTCTTAAGTATTTAGCCTTATATTTTTGTAATAGATATAGTATTAAAGATCTGCTGAACCTTTGTACAAGTCTATCCTAAATTGGATTTGTAATACAAATAAGGGTTTTCCAGGTTATTATGTGTACCACTTTTCAAAATTCAGAATGTTTGTTTTGAGTACTACATTAATCATCATTGTGGATGAATGGATGCGTGGGTGGATAGATATTGTGAATTCCTCAACTTCACGATCGCTTTAGTCTAGTTATAGAAGAGAACTAAGTATACTGGTCTATGACTAACTCTCTTATTATGTAGTAGTTATCTGATAAGCATATGCAGAGAAATCTGAGGGTAAAGGAGGGAGGTAAAAGTTCTACTTTGAGCTGTGAGGAATGGATCTAGGAAGTCTTCAAAGAGAAATTGACTTTGGGGCTGTTTTTCAGTTGAAGAATTTCAATATGTGCAGATTGGGGAAGGACATTTCAGGAACAGGGACAGCTGAATCAAAGGACAATGATATTTTCAAGAACGCTTTGTAGGCAATGAAATGGCTACAGGTGGCTGCAGTATTAGGAACATGGCAGGGGTGGGTTGGAGGAGCCTGGCAATGCCAGCTGGGGTGAGATGGTGGCAATCTAACTTTCAGGCTAAGGAGCTTTATCTTCACATTGTTGGTTGTCAATTTCCCATTCTCACAAGGTGCTCTTCTACAACCAGTTACAAAGACAAATATGTCTGGTTTATTTTTTGGAGGTACACATTGCACATTGGCTTATTAAAGCTGCTAAAGAGTAAAGAAGCTGTTTAACTTAGTTTAAGTCCAACATTTTTCAAAAGTCTCTAAAACAGGAAAACATTTATTTTTTTCCTCTCAACATCTATTTGAATCCTATGGAATATCACTGCAGGGAATACCTTGGAATTGAAGAGTTTAAAGAAAGAACCAGTGTGATCATTTTACCTTTTTAAATGTCACCCTGGTTACAGTGTGTGCTATGGAGTGGAAACCATTAATTTGGAAACAAGGAGATGAAATAAGCTGTTGCTGCACTTTCTTCGGAGAGAGAGAGAAAGAGAAAGCGGATGCACGTGCAAGAGAGAAGATGAAATGGGAATTGGGTGCTGATGACAGAAATGGGTAAAGGGGAGAGGTATGAGCAAGCTTTTTTAAGGAGATGACTTGTTGAGGTCGGGTGACTTATGGGCTTTGGGGAACAAGAGAGGGATCTTGTGTACCATTTATTTTCTGCATTGTGGAACTGGGTGAATGGTGGGGCCACTCACAGAATGAGTGCCACACATGGGAAGGAAGATGTTGGTGGATGAAAAATTCACTTTGAGTTTACATACCTGTAGAAAAGACACATTAAGACACAGAGAACCCTCCATCTTTCTGATAAATCATTTCTTCTGTTTTCTTCTTCTGCCAGTCCCGGGAGTCTCAATCTGCTTTTTCTTCCTGTGAATTATTCTGCAACCCTCATTCTCCAGCTCTCCTTAGTTCATGACCATTCTCCAAATATGCCATGCACATTCACAGCTATGTGCATTGACTCCATTGTTCTGTCATTCCAGAATGACTTTCCTGACTGTATGTGTTAGAAATTATCTTTAGCTCGCAGCAACAGACATCCAACTATAATGGCTTAAATTTATAGTGTATCTCATATGAAAACAAAAAGTTTAGATAATAAACAGTCCAGAACTTGTTTTGACATCACACCAACTTTTCTACCTTTTGATCCACAGTTCTTAGCAGCAGCTTCTGTCCTCAGAGATATAAAATGACTCATGGAACTCCACCCATCACAATCACATTTCAAATAGAAGTATGAGAGAGCAGAAATAACCTACATATTATCTGTTTCCTCTTAAGAAGCCATTCCAATGTTTTACCTAACCATTCATGTTTACATATTATTGGCTATACCTAGATGTAAGGGGACTGGGAAATAAAATGTAGTCTTTTCCTGTAATATGTTGCTACTGAGGGAGGAAAAAAGTGAACGAGGGTGTTTTTTTTTTTTTTAATTTGGGTTTTTAATTTTTCAAGGAAGAAGAAGGAAATATATACAGAAGAGCAGTCTCTGCCACATTGACCTTCACCTTTTGCAACTCTGCTTAGGGTTGATCTAACTTTAAATCAACCACCATGTCCTTGAGAAGAACTTCTCTGAATTGTCCTCCTGCCAGAGCAGCTTTTTTCTTCTGAAGCAGGCGCATTACCTTCTGTTCAGCACTCATTTACTTTATGTTTTCCTTATCCTTTCTTGTACCTCTGGCTCCTTCCTGCAAGATTCCTGGGAGCAAGATCTATTTTTATATTAGTCCCAGTGTTCTCTTTTGATCTCTCTGAACCTCAGGACCTGATATCACCTCTGGCTCCTAATAGGAACTTAGAAGAAGTTGGGTCTAATTCATGGTTCTCAGACTCTAGAGTACATCAAAATCATCTGGAAGGCTTATTAAGCATAAAAATGGCTGGACCCTACTCTCAAAGATCTGGATTCACTAAGTCTTAGTCCCAGACTGAGACTATGCATTTCTGACAAGTTTGCAGGTGGTACTGGTGCTGCTGGTCCAGAGAGCACACCCTGAGAATCTTTTTTGTAGGGATTTCCTACAAAGGTTCTTCTCACATTACATCCCAGGGTACTTTCTTGGTCTCAGGATGGCTAGCTGTACATCTTTCTTTCTCCTCACAGGGCCCATTGTTTTCTCTTTTTTACTCTCACCTTTTTACAATCAATAAAAACATCTCAAACAAGTTCACAGTTTTTCAGCTGAGTAGGTCTTGCACAATAAGTGGGAAATGGGCCAATGACAGTCAAGGACATAGTCTGGACTCATCACAATACTCATAGTTTACATAGCCTTGCTTTTCTTTTTTTTTTTTTTCAGATTTTTTTTTCATCATGACCTTCACAGTGCTTCCCTCCTTCTCTCCCTCACCACCCAGTTTAGCAGTCCCATGCTACCAACTCCGCCACCAGCCCAGCTGAGTGTTAATTATCTTCTGGAAAGTCACGCTAGTCCTGATAAAGGCCCCTCATTGCTAGGAGAACCGCTAACCCCAACAAATCCTCCCAATGATGTTTATGAAATATTTCAGTTGAACTAAAAGATTTTCTCCAGGCCAGTAATTATTGTCATTAACATTTAGATAAGTTGGCTGTTTCCTGCTCTATATTACTGTGTGTTCCATTGCCTCATAATGGAGTAAGATAGGAAGGAGTGAGGAATTTCAAACAAAATGGTCTTTGCTAATAAAGTTCAATGCCTCCTTTAGGATGCTTTCGGTAGTCCATGAAGCTAGCATCTGCCATAGTCCCACCCCTCTCCTCTGCATTCCTCTGGTGGGGCCCATGGTGATCCTGAACCTTTTTGTTCCCATGTATCCCTAGCCAAAAGAGGACTCAGCCTTACTTCTTCTTGTGAGCCAGAACAGACTCATCTGGGGTTCCAAGCTTAAATGGTTTTCCCACATGGCTCCCTGGCTCTTATCCTAGCAATCAGGCCTAGAGTGAAGGACTGCCTTGCAACTTTTGAGCACTCTTTTAACTCTCAAAGCACAGGAAAGCTAAATTTCCTCCCAGATTTCTCAAACTCTAGTGGAAGTGCCTGAATCTGTATTCTCCACTTTAGAAAAATATATCAGACTTAAGTATAATTATAGCTATTACGTCCTTAATGGAAAGTCTAACCTGATGATGTACAATAGGCTTTGAGGAGTTAGATAAAAATGAGTTCCAATGTTTTATACGTTAGGTAGAGCAGGTTGAGAAAATGGAGAATTGGGTTCTAGCCTGCAGATGTGGAGATGGCCGTACATGACGCTTTAGCAGCCAGTTGGTGTTAAAGGGCAGGCAAGCTCCTAAAAAGTTAGTGTTCCTTGTGCAGCTCTTTTTGGGTCAGCGCTTTACAGAAGTGATGGGCACACAGGTTTACTAGGCTGTCATCATAAAGTGCAGTTTCATTAACTTCTAACCTTCTGCCTTCAAATGGTAGCACCCACTGACTTCACTGCCCAAACACAAGTAATTTTATCCCAATTATATTTTTAGTTGTTTACTTTTTGTTTTATATTTTGAAAGTATTTTAAAAAGTTGAAAAATAATACTTCATTAATTGTTAATCATTTTGACATGTTTGCTTTAAACATTTTTCTTTTATCTCTCTCTGTCTCTGACTCTTTCCCTCTCTTCACACCACACACACACACACACACACACACACACACACACACACACACACAGAGAGAGCGAGAATAGTAACATCTGTTACTATTTTTGTGAACTAAATTAATTAAATGTGAATTAAATTAATGTTTGAGGTGATGGATAAGCTAATTACTCCGATTTGATCATTACACAATGTATACATGTATCAAAACATCACACTGTACCACATAAATATGTACTATTATTATATCTCAATTAAAATTTCATAAAACTTAAAAAAAATTAAAATTTCCTGGTGTGGGTGGCAAATTATATGGTTGCCGTATTATCATTTCTGCAGACATGACTTGTGTGACTTCCTCTCGGCCTTTAGCAATGTTGTGGGAGTTCAGGCTGACCTAGAGGCACAGACCTCAAGCTCCAGAAAGCAGTTTCCAGCCACTCACCATGGGATGGGCAGTCTATTGGCCAGGAGAAAATTTTAATAATTGAATAAATTGAAATAAGTTTCAGGGCTCAGAAGCAGGTTAATCTCCGCAGAAGCCTTTACTCTGTACTGAAATAAACTGTTTGCTTCTGAAACAAAATTATTTTCACAACCTAATGTGAAAATTTTCTCCTGGCCAATAGACTGCCTACCCCACGGCGAGTGGCTGGAAATGGCTTTCTGGAGCTTGAGATCTGTGCCTCTAGGTCAGCCTGAACTCCCACAACATTGCTAAAGGCCTAGAGGAAGTCAAACAAGTCATGTGTGCAGAAATGATAGTAGGGCAACCATATAATTTGCCACCCACACCAGGGAATTTTATTTTTTTTAAGTTTTATTATATTTTAATTGAGATATAGTAATTGTACATATTTATGAGGTACAGTGTGATGTTTTGATACATGTATACATTGTGTAATGATCAAATCAGAGTAATCAGCATATCCATCACCTCAAACATTTATTCTTTGTGGAGAAAACCCAGAATCCTCTTTTCTAGCTGTTACTATTTTGAAATATACAATAATTATTAACTGTAGTCATGCTACAGTGCAATGGAAGACTTGGACTTGTTTTTCCTATGTAACTCTTCTAACTTTGTACTAATTGACCACCATCCCATAATCCCCTGATCCTTTCTACCCTCTCTAGCCTCTGATAACCCATTGTTCTATTCTCTTGTTTTTAACTTTTATTTTAATTTCAGGGGTATATGTGCAGGTTTCTTATATAGGTAAATCTGTCATGGGGGTTTGTTGTACAGACAATTTTGTCACTCAGCTATTAAGCCTTGTACCCACTAGTTATTTTTCCTGATCCTCTCTCTCATCCCAGATCCTCTCTCTGATAGGCCCCATTGTCTGCTGTTGCCCTCTATGTGTCCATGTGTTCTCATCACTTAGCTCCCAATTATAAGTGAGAACATGCAGTATTTGGTTTTTCTATTCATGAATTAGTTTGCTAAGGATAATGGCCTGCAGCTCCATCGGTGTCTTACAAGGGACATGATCTCATTCTTTTTTATGGCTGCATAGTATTCCAAAGTGTATATGTACCACATTTCCTTTATCCAGTCTACCATTGATGGGCATTTAGGTTGATTCTATGTCTTTGCTATTGTGAATAGCACTGCAATAAACATACACATGCATGTGTCTTTATGATAAAACTATTTATATTATTTGGGGTATACACCCAGTATGAGATTGCTGGGTCAAATGGTAGTTCTGTTTTTAGGCCTTTGAGGAGTCACCACACTGTTTTCCACAATGGTTAAACTAATTTACACTGCCAACAACAGCGTATAAGCATTCCTTTGTATCCACAGCCTTGCCAGCACCTGTTTTTTTTTTTTTTTAATAGCTGTTCTGACTGGTATGAGATATTTCATTGTGGTTTTGATTTGCATTTCTGTAATAATCAATGTGTCGAGCATTATTTCATATGCCTGTTGGTCACATGTATATCTTCTTTTGAAAGGTGTCTTCAGGTCCTTTACCCACTTTTTAATGGGATTGTTTGTTTGTTTTTTCTCATAAATTTAAGTTTCTTATAGATGCTGGATATTAGACTTTTGACAGATACATAGTTAGCAAATATTTTCTCCCATTCTGTAGGTTGTCTGTGTACTGCATTGATAGTTTCTTTTGCTGTGCAGACACTCTTTAGTTTAATTGGATTCCATTTGTCAATTTTTGCTTTTGTTGTGATTGCTTTTGGCATCTTTGTCATAAAAACTTTCCTTATTCCTATGTCCAGAATGGTATTGCCTAGGATGTCTTCCAGGGTTTTTATAGTTTGGGGTTTTACATGTAAGTCTTCAATTCATCTTAAGTTGATTTTTGTATATAGTGTAATGAAGTCCAGTTTCAATCTTCTTCATATAGCTAGCCAGTTATCCCAGCATCAGTTATTAAATAGGGAATCTTTTCCCCATTGCTTGTTTTTGTCAGGTTTGTCAAATATCAGATGGTTGCAGATGTGCAGCCTTATTTCTGTGCTCTTTGTTCTGTTCCATTAGTCTATGTCTGTTTTTGTACCAGTGCCATGCTGTTTTGGTTACTGTAGTCCTGCAGTATAGTTTGAAGTTGGGTAGCATGATGCCTCCAGCTTTGTTCTTTTTGCTTAGAATTGCCTTTGCTATTTTGGCTGGTTTTTGGTTCCACATGAATTTTAAAATAGTTTTTTTTTAGTTCTGTGAAGAATCTCAAAGGCAGTTTGATAAGAAAAGCATTGAATCTATAAATGGCTTTGGACAATATGGCCATTTTAGCAATATTGATTCTTCCTATCCATGAACAGGGAATGTTTTCCCATTTTTTGTGTGTGTCATCTCTGATTTCTTTGAGCAGTGTTTTGTAACTCTCTTTGTAGAGATATTTCAGCTCCCTAGTTAGCTGTATTGCTAGGTATTTTACTCTTTTGGTGGCAGTCGTGAATGGAATTGTGTTCCTGATTTGGCTCTTGACTTGATTATTGTTAGTGTATGGGAATGCTAATGATTTTTGTACATTAATTTTGAGACTTTGAAATTTTGATGAAGTTGTCTATCAGCTTAAGGAGCTTTGGGACCAAAATTATAGGGTTTTCTAGCTACAGAACCATGTCATTTGCAAACGGGGCTAGTTTGACTTCCTCTCTTCCTGTTTGGATGCTCTTTATTTCTTTCCCTTGCCTGATTGCTCTGGCTAGGACTTCCAATACTATGTTGAATAGGAGTGGTGAGAGATGACATCCTTGTTTTTTACCAGTTTTCAAGGGGAATGCTTCCAGATTTTTGCCATTCAGTATGATGTTGGCTGTGTGTTTGTCATAGTTGGCTGTTATTATTTTGACGTATGTTTCTTCAATACCTAATTGACTGAAAGTTTTTAACATGAAGGAGTGTTGAAATTTATTGAAAGCCTTTTCTGCATCTATTGAGACAATCATGTGGTTTTTGTATTTAGTTCTGTTTATGTGATGAATCACATTTATTGATTTGCATATATCAAACCTTGCTTCCGGGGAAAAAGCTTACTTGATAGTGGTGAATAAGCTTTATGATGTGCCACAGAATTTGGTTTGCCAATATACTGTCTAGGATTTTTGCATCAAAGTTCTTCAAGGATATTGGCCCAGTGTTTTATTTTTCTTTTTGCTGTATCTCTTCCAGGTTTTGGTATCAGGATGATGCTGGCCTAATAGACTGAGATACAAAGGAGTCCTTCCTCCTCCATTTTGTGGAATAATTTCAGTAGGAATGGTATGAGCTTTTTTTTGTATATCTGGTAGAATTCAGCTGTGAATCTGTCTAATCCTGGCCTTTTGTTGTTGTTGTCACTATTTCTGATTCAATTTCAGAGTCATTATTGGTCTATTTAGAGATTCGGTTTCTTCTTGGTCCAGTTTTGAGAGGGTAAATGTGTCCAGAAATTTATCCATTTCTTCTAGATTTTTTAGTTTATGTGCAGAGAGGTATTCATAATATTCTCTGATGGTTGTTTTTCTGTGGGGTCGGTAGTAACATCCTCATGTTGTTTCTGATTCTGTTTATTTGAATCTTCTCTATTTTTTCTTTATTAGTCTAGCTAGCCATCTATTTTATGAAATTTTTCAAAATACTAGCTTCTGTATTGGTTGATCTTTTAAATGGTTTCTTATGTCTCATTTTTTTTCAGTTCATCACTAATTTTTGTTATTTCTTGTCCTCTGCTAGCTTTGGAGTTAGTTTCCTCTTGATTCTCTAGTTCTTTTAGTTGTGATGTTAGATTATTAAATTGAAAATTTTCTAACTTTTTGATGTGAGCATCTGGTACTATAAATTTCCCTCTTAACACTGTCTTAGCTGTGTCCCAGAGGTTCTGGTATGTTGTGTCTTTGTTCTTATTAGTTTCATAAAACTTATTGATTTCAGCCTTCATCCATTATTTACCCAGAAGTCATTCAGGAGAAGGTTATTCAATTTCCACAAAATTACATGTTTTTGAGTGAATTTCTTAGTCTTGATTTCTAACTTGATTGTGCTATGGTCAGAGAGAGCGGTTGTTATGACTCTACTTTTTTTGGCATTTGCTGAGGAGTGTTTTGTCTCTGATTATGTGGTTGATTTTAAAATATGTGCCATATGGCAATAAAAAGAATGTATATTCTATTGTTTTTAGGTGGAGAGTTCTGTAGATGTCAATCAGGTCCATTTGATACAGTGCTGAGTTCAGGTCCTGGATATCTTTGTTAAGTTTTTGCCTTGATAATCTGCCTAATACTGTCAGTGGGGTGTCAAAGTCTCCAACTAATACTGTGTGGGAGTCAGCATCTCTTATTAGGTCTCTAAGAACTTGCTTTATTAGTCTAGGTGCTTCTGTGTTGGGTGCACATATATTTAGGATAGTTACATCTTCTTGTTGAATTGAGCAGGTTGCTCCTTGCCAGCATAACATACTCATTTTTCTGAGTCACTGGGGGCTAAGAATGAGTCCTACTGTGAGGTAGCCCCATGAAGGACTCCCAGCTTCCTTCCCCTTCAGCCCGGCTTCTGTGTCTTCCCTTCGTCTACTCCCAGTGCCTTCTCTTGGAATATCTGTTAGGAACACACCAGTTGTCCTTGTCCCTCCATAGCAGCTGTTCTACCTGGCTGTGTCTGGTCAGCTATCTTGCTGAGCTACATCCCTGTTCTATTCTCTAAGTCTATAAAATCAACTTTGTTAGATAACACAAATGTGTGAGATCATTAAGTATTTGTTCTTCCATGCTTGGCTTACTTCACTTAACATAATACCCTCTAGGCTTATCTGGTTGGTAGTGAATGACAGAATTTCATATTTTTTATGATGGAATAGTATTAAATTGTGTATATATACAAAATTTAAAAAATATATTTATTCTCTGATAGACACTTAGGTTCATTCCATACTTTGGCTCTTGTGAATAGTGCTACAAAAACATGGGATTGTAGATATCTTTCACATACTGATTTTATTTCCTTTGAATTGATTGTTTGACTATATGGTAGTTCTATTTTTGTTTTTTTTGAGAAAGATCCATACTGTTGTCCATGATGGCTGTACTTATTTACATTCTCAACAATAGTGTACAAATTCCCTGTTCTCCACATCCACACAAGCATTTCTTGTTTTTTATTCTTTTGATAAAATCCAATCTAATTGGCGTGAGCTAATATCATCCTGGTTTTGATTTACACTTCTCTGATGATTAGTAATGTTGAACATTTTTCCATATACCTGTTGGTCATTTGTATACCTTCATTTGAAAAATGTGTGTTCAGATATTTTGCCCATTTTTAATCAGATTTTTTAACTATGTTGAATTGTTTGAGTTCTTTGTGTATTCTACATATAAGCCTCTTGTAAGTTTGTAGCTATTTTCTTCCATTCTATAGGTTGTATCTTCACTCTGTTGATTGTTTCCTTTCTTTTGCATAAGCTTTTCAGTTTGATGCATTCCCATTTGGTTATTGTTGTTGTTGTTACCTGTGCTTTTGAGGTCTTATTCTGAAAAAAAGCATTTCCCCAACAAATCTTATAAAGTGTTTGTCCTGTTTTCTTCCAGTAATTTTATAACTTCAGTTCTTACATTCAAATTTGTAATTGATTTTGATTTGATTTTTGTATATAGTGATAGATAGAGGTCTAGTTTTATTTTTCTTCTTGTTGATATCCAGTTATCCCAGCACCATTTACTAGAGAGACTGTCATTTTTCCCAGTGTGTATCGTTGGCATCTTTATAGAAAATTTGTTTACTGTAAATGTGTAAATTTACTGCTGGGAACTCTATTCTGCTCCATTTGTCTATGTTTCTGTTTTTATGCCAGTAGCATGCTCTCTTGGTTATTATAGCTTTGTAATATATTTTGAAATCAGGAAGTATGATGCCTCCAGCTTTGTTCTTATTGCTCAAGATAATTACTTTGACTATTTAGGATCTTTTGTGATTCCATACAAATTTTAGGATGTTTTTTACTTTTATAAATAATAGCATTGGTATTTTCACAGGGATTATATTAAATCTATAGATTGCTTTTTGTTATATGTACATTTTAACAATATTAATTCTCCTAATCCATGAATATTTTTCTCTTTATTCGTGTCCTCTTTAATTTATTTTATCAATGTTTTATAATTTTATCATATAAATTTTTCACTTTTTTGGTTAAATTTATTCCTAAGAAATTTTTGGTAACGACTGCAAATGGGATTGTCTTCTTTATTTCATTCTAAGGTAGTTAACTGTTAGTATATAGAAATACTTTTCTGTGTTGATTTTGTATTTTGCAACTTTACTAAATTTGTTTATTAGTTGTAGTAGTTTTTGGTGTAGTCTTTAGTGTTTTCTAGGTATAAGATTATGTTATCTGAAAACAGGAATAATCTGACTTCCTCCTTTCAAATTTGGATGACCTTTTTTTCTTTCTCTTGACGAATTGCCCTGACTTGTACTTCCAGAACTATTTTGAATAGAAATTATGAAATTGGGCTTCCTTGCCTTCTTCCAGATCTCATAGGAAATGCGTTTTACTTGCCCTTACTTATGTGATGTTAGCTTTGGATGTGGTATATGGTATTAATTGTGTTGAGGTACATTCCTACCATACCTAATTTGTTGAGAGTTTTTAGCATAAAGGGATGTTGAATTTCTGTGTATAATAAAATAATCATAAGTTTTTTCTTCTTGATTGTATTAATATAATGTATGATGCACATTGATTTGCATATGTTCAATCACTCTTTCATCACTAGAATAAACCCCACTTGATCATGGTGGATGATCTTTTTAATGTGCTACTACAAAATTTGGTTTGTGAATATTTTGTTGAGAATTTTTGCATCTGTCTTCATCAGGAATATTGACCTGTGGTTTTCTGTTCTTGTTTGTTTCCTTTTCATTGTGTTCTTCTTTGCTTTTGGTATCCGGGTGTATTATTACGTTCTCATAGTGCTATGAAGAAATACCGGAGACTAGGTAATTTATAAAGAAAAAGAGGTTTAATGGACTCACAGTTTCACATGGCTGGGGAGACCTCACAATCATGGCGGAGGGTGAAGGAGGAACAAAATCAGTTCTTACATGGTGGCAGGCCAGAGAGCATGTGCAGGAAAACTGCCCTCTATAAAATCATCAGATCTTGTGACACTTATTTACTATCACTAGAATAGCACAGGAGAAAACCTGCCCCCATGATTCAATTACCTCGCACCAGGTCCCTCCCACAATACAAAGGGATTATGGGAACTACAATTCAAGATGAGATTTGGGTAGGGACACAGCCAAACCATATCACAGGGTAATGCTTGCCTTAGAGATTGAGTTTGGAATAATTGCCTTCCCTTCAATTTTTTGGAATAGTTTGAGAATAATTGGTATTAGTTCCTCTTTAAATGTTTGTTAGAATTCAGCAATGAAACTGTTGGATTTCTTTGATGAGAGCCTTTTTATTAATGATTCAATCTCATTACTCATTATTGGTCTCTTTGGGTTTTCTATTTCTCTATGATCCTCTCTTGTTAGGCTGTATATCTAAAAATTTATCAACTTTTTTATGATTTTTCAATTTGGGATGTATCTGTTCATAATTATTTGTATTTTTGTAGTATCAGTTCGTACTGACTCCTTTTTTACTTCTGATTTCTTTATTTAGATCTTCTCTTTTTCTTAGTCTTGTTAAAGTTTTGTTGATTTTGTATATCTTTTCAAAAAACCAACTCATTGATTTTTTAAAATTTATTATTGATCTTCTTTAGTTTCTATTTCTTATTTTTCTTTATTCATTCTTTTCCTCTATTGATTTTGGGGTTGTTTCATTTTTGCTTTTCTGCTTCCTTGAGATACACTATTAGATTGTTTATATGAAATTATTGTATTTTCTTGATGTCAGTGTTTATTACTGTAAACTTCCCTCTCAGCACTGCTTTAGGTGTATTCCGTAGGGTTCAAAATGTTGTATTTCCATTTTTATTTATCTCAAAAAAATTTTTAAACGTATTTTACATTTCTTATTGACCTATTTGTCATTCAGAAGCATATTGTTTGATTTCCATGTGTTTGTATAGTTTCCAAAATTACTCCTGTTATAAATTTCTAGTTTTATTGCAGTCAGAATGGATACTTGATATGATTTTGATTTTTAAAAAATTGTTAAGGCTTGTTTTTTGCCCTAACAGATGGTTTATTCTTGAGAATATTTTATATGCAATCCAGAAGAATGTATATTCTGCAGCTTTGGATAGAATTTTCTGTAAATATTTATTAGGTTTATTTGGTCTAGACTGCAGTTCAAGTCCAGTGTTTCTTTGATTTTCCATCTGGGTAATCTACTCACTGCTGAAAGTGAAGTGTTCCCTGCTATTATTATATCGAAGTCTGTATCTTCCTGTAGGTATATTAATATTTGTTTTCTATATTAAATTGTTCCCACATTAGGTGCACATATATTTACACTTGTTATATTCTCTTGCTGTATCGAGAACTTTATCACTATATAATGGGCTTTTTTACATCTTTTTACAGTTTTTGGCTTAAAGTCTATTTTACCTGATAAAAGTATTGCTACTTCGGCTCTTGTTTTGTTTCCATTTGTATTAAATATCTTTTTCACCCTTCACTTTATGTGTACCCTAACAGGTTAAGTGAGTCTCTTGTAGATAGAATATAGTTAGCTCTTTTTGCATTACCCATTTAGCCACACTGTGTTTTCTAATTAGAGAATTTATTCTATGTGCAATCAAAGTAATTATTAATAAGTAAGGGCTTACTACTGCTATTTCATTATTAGTTTTCTAGACCCTTTCTTTCTTACTTTCTTACTGTATTCTTTAATGGTTAAATAATTGTATTTTGTAGTATGTTTGAGTCTTTGCTTTTAATTTTTAGTATATCTATTGTACATTTTCATTTTTGGTTATGATGAGGCATATAAAGAAATCTTATAGTTTAGCAAGTTATAGTAGAATGATAACAACTTAACTTTAATTTCAATAAAAGGAAAATAAACAAAAAAACCTGTTCTCTTTAACTCCATTTTCCCTCCATATTTTGAATTACTGATATCAAATTTTATATCTTATATTGCTTATCTCAACAAATTATTGTAGTTATTTTTGTCTTTTGGTCTTCATACTGAAGATACAAGTGGTTTACACACCAGGATTACAGTATTAAAGCGTTCTGAATTTGTCTGTATGTTTACTTTTACTAGTGAGTTTTATACCATCAGATATTTTCTTATCATATGTTAGCACCCTTTGCTTTCACTTTGAAGAATTCTCTCTAGCATTTCTTGTAAGAAAGGTCTAGAGGTGATGAATTTCCTCAGCTTTTGTTTGTCTGAGAAAGTCCTTATTTTTCCTTCATTTCAGAAGGATACTTTTGCTGGGTACAGTATTCTTGGTTGGCAGCTTTTTTTTTTCTTCTTCAGAACTCTGAATATATCATTTCACTGCCTCTTGGCCTGCAAGATTTCTTCTGAGAAGCCTGTTGTCAGCTGTTTTGGAATTTTAAAAATATGTCATTTGCTTCTTTTGCTGCTTTCAGAAGCTACTCTTTGTGTCTGGCCTTTGAGAATTTGGTTATAATATGTCTTGGAGTAGGCTTATTTGGGTTGAATCTGAATGATGACCTTTAACTTTCCTCTACTGATTATTTATATCTTTTTCCAAGATTGAAAATTGTTCTCTCATTGTTTCTTTGAATAAATATCCTACTTATTTTTGTCTCTGCTCCCTCTTGAACTCCAATAACCCCAAAATTTGCTCTTTTGATGCTATTCCATTTGTCTCATATGCCTTCTTGAGTCCTTTTCATTCTTTTTTCTGTTTTTCCTTCTGACTGTGAATTTTCAACTAGCTTGTATTCAAGTTCACTGATTCTTTCTTCTGCCTGATAAACGCTTTATCTATTGCATTTTTTACTTCATTCAGTATATTTTTCAGCTCTAGAATTTCTGTTTGATTTCTTTATTATTATTTTAGTCTCTCTGTCAAATTTCTCTGATAATTTTTTAAATTGTTTCTTGATGTTTTCATGAAGCTCACTGAGCTTCCTTTACACAGCTATTTTGAATTCTTAGTGTAACTGATCATACATCTCCATCTCTTCAGAGCCTGTCACAGGAACCTTGTTGTGTCCTTTTAATTAGGTCCTAATTTTCTGATTGTTCTTGATGCTTGTGAATATATCTACACATTAAAGAATTAGTTATTTATTCCAGTCTTTGCAATCTAGCTTTGTTTTTTCTGTTCTACTACAATGGGTCTGTCTAGTAATGTAAGCAGACTAACTGTTGTCAGGGCTCATAACCACTGAAGCTATAAATAAAAAGGAAGGTGAGGTTCTACTGCAAGTCCACCAGGGGTTCTGTTTTGCCCTCCAGAAGTCCTCCTTTCACCCGAAGGCCGCAGAGGCTGCCAACAACAAGTGGAGATACACATTTCCTTGTTTAATTTAGTGTGTAAAGAAAGAGAGAGGAAACCTCTCCCTTAACCAAGGATTTTAGTCCTGTCCTTCAATCATATTGGGCCGGTCTAGCTGAACTATACATGTGTTGGCTGATAGTAGTTGCTAGGGGAGTATCATGCTCTTAAAAAGAGGATTTTGAGATAATGGAAGTTGAATTACTATGTTTACTCTAAACTTTCAGTGCTGCACAATAGAACTTTCTGCAAAAAGGAAATGCCGCATTCTGCACTGGCCAATGTAGTAGCCACTGGCCAGATATGGCTATTATACACTTTAAGGCTGCAGGAGCAACTGAGGAAATAAAAGTTTTATTTTACTTAATTGTAATGAATTTAACTTAAATAGTACTGTGGCTATTTATATTAACTACCATAGTGCTATTTAAATTAATTTAATTAAAATTAAATAAAATATTAGAGTAATAAAGTGACCAAGATTCAGGTTGGAGATGGACATAGGGTCCGACTCCATTGAGTCACATGGGCTGCAGTGAGGGAGAGAAGAGAACTCTGAGTAAAATTTAGGTCCTTTTTTGGAAGGAAGAGTTGAATATGTAGGTCTTCTGTATCCTTGCTGCTCAAAATTTGGTTCATAGACCACAAACATGGTTATCATGTGGCAACTCACTAGAAAAGCAGAACCTTAGGCCCTGTATCAGATAAGCTGAATCATAATTTGCAACTTAGCAGAATTTTCAGCTGTTTACCCCATGGTTTGGCTTAAAGACTTGCAATTTGAGAGACCTGGATTTCCAGTCTGGGTGTGCCACTAACCAACTCTAAGTGAATTATGCAACTTACTTCAGCTCTCTAAGTTTTCATTTTCCCACCTGATATGGCTTGGCTGTTTCCCCATCCAAATCTCATCTTGAATTGTAGCTCCCATAATCCCCACGTGTCATGGGAGGGACCCAGTGAGAGGTAATTGAATCATGGAGGTGGGTTTTTCCCATGCTGTTCTTGTGGCAATGAATAAGTCTCATGAGATCTGATGGCTTTATAAAGGGCAGTTTCCCTACACACACTCTCTTGCCTGCCACCATGTACGATGTGACTTTGCTCCTCCTTCACCTTCCACTATGATTGTGAGGCCTCCCCAGCCATGTGGAACTGTGAGTCCATTAAACCTCTTTTTCTTTATACATTACCCAGTCTCATTATCTTTATTATCCATGTGAAAACAGACTAATACACCATCTCTAAGAACATTACAATAAGCCTTGCCTAACAGAGTTATTACAATTTTCATATGAAATACTGTGCATAAAATTCTTAGCATAGTACAGAGCATCTAATATCTGCTCATTAAACTGTAGTTTTTCTAGCCTCCTCTCTAGGACAGAATATGTCTTATCCATGGAGAAATCCACACCCTGGCCACAGCTTTGCACATAACAGAAGTTCAATAATGTGGGTTGAAATAACAGACACAATAAATGACTGAGTGAATTCATGATTAGGTTGCCCAGTGCCTCATAAATTATAGATGGATCAATACATACAATGCATTATTTTAATGAATAAATGCAATTATTTTACATGTATAACCAGAGCAATATTTGATTTTTCTAATTTTATTTGAATAATTTCTTACCTGATTACCTTACCTAGAACTTCTTTCTTAAGGGAAAAAAGTTAAAAGGTACATACTTTTTGTATGGTCTTTCCTATTGTCAGGTTTAGTTTATAAGGTGTTGCAAATATCCTCTATGGGCATGTTCTTTAGCAGCATTTGTAAAAGAAAGAGAAACACTCATGTGTCCACACTGTACATTAGGATCTTAACTTAGTAACACTACTGGTGACAGCCCTCACAGGCAGCCTTAATGTCTTGTGAGGGAGCCCGCCTCCTTTCCCTCATAAGACAGGAGTCTTGAGCAGTTGCTTAAATTTTCAGACATTTTGTATCATTTTCCCAAGTAGACTGTCATCTTTCCAGCTTTCTGCAGCCAGACTTGAAACTCTTCCAGCACTTCCTTTGTTCTCATCTTGTGAGACACAGTAGCCCACTTTGCAGTTATGTTCCTTGTACATTATTGTTAAGCCCAGTAAGATGATAACTGCTGAGAATGTCTGTAGCCTAGTGTTGAGAAGTAGCAGATCCTAGCTCAAATGCTTGGAGTTGCTAACAGGCTTCACCAGTGATCTGGAATACGATCTTGGGTAACCAACAGTGTCTCTGACCCTCCATTTACTTATCTATAAAATAAACCAAAAACACACACATAAATAAACAAAAAGCCTATTTAACAATGTGTAAAATTTAAAGCTTTATGAAAGTGTAAGAAAGATATTACTTATTTCTATTCTTTATTATTATCTTTCATTTATTGATTCAAACATGCCTATTGTCCATCTGCTATGGGGATTATGCTATATAATGTGCCATAGTTAGAGAAATGACCAAATACAGAGTCCATGAACTCAATGACATAAAAGAGAAGACTATGAGCACCAAGAAGAGGCCAACTAGGGCAACTTGAAGTAGTCAGTAATAGGGCAACCTGAAGTAGTCAGTAAATACTTACTAAAAAAAGGGGGTATCTTTCTGGGCACAGTAGCTCTTGCCTAAAATCCCAGCACTTTGGCAGGCTGAGGCTGATCGATCGCTTGAGCTCAGGAATTTGAGACCAGCCTGGGCAATGTGGTGAAACGCTATCTCTCCCAAAAATACAAAAATTAGCTGGGCATGGTAGTGCACACCAGTAATCCCAACTTCTTAGGAGGCTGATGTGGGAGGGTAGCTTGAGCCCAATAGGTGGAAGTTGCAGTGAATCGAGATTGTGCCACTGCACTCCAGCCTGGGCAACAGAGCCAGACCTTGTCTCCGAAAAAAAAAAAAAAGGGCAGGGAGGGCGGTATCTGAGGTCACTCTCAAGAAATGGGCAGAAATTAAGCAGACAAATAAGGGTAGAATAATTCAAGACTAGAGGAAGAATGGTGGATTCAATACAAATAGTTTTTAAATGTTGCCTTGTTTAAAGAAATGCATAAAGCTTTTTACCTATTTTAAATAAAAAGCAGAAAGTATGACATTTTAATTCCAGGAGGCGTTTTTGTCCGTAGCGTGATCTACTTAATTCAGACAACTGATAGAAATTAAATTCAGAAAAGTGCCCTAGTATCCCCAAGGCCACATGGATTGTTAGTAGCAAAACTAGTTTACTAATGCTTAATCCAGCTGTTTTCCTTACATAATGCTACCTCCTCAATCCAGAGGCCAGATGATAACTTAATATTCTTAGTAGCGTAGACTCTTCTGTCAGCACCAAACACAAATGTACAACCAGTGCTCCTCAGCTGGATACAGGTCACTTTTCAGCAGTATCTGTGTCATGGATGTTTGCTAAGAAGAAGAATTTTTAAAATTAGATCTGGGAGTATTTGGCATATTTCCACCTGGCACCGACACTCACTTAGATTACCAGAAATCTTAGGCTTAAGGAAAGCTTAATTAAAACCAAGTCAATGGAGCACTTTCTGAGGAACTAACAGGATTACACAAATAAACTGGGCATTTTCTCTTCTCTTTTTGCTGTTCTGTTACTCTCAACCGAAACTTTGATTGATCTACACCATATATATTTATTTAATCACCAAGTTTTCTTTATTGATTGTGTATAGGCAAACTAAGATTTTTTTTGAAAAGCTTACTATTTTGTATAACTATTATGTATGCTATGATTATTAGAGGAAGATAGGGTAGATTAACTGCTGGATTTGAAATTCAAAACCTGTGTCTGATTCTTTGTGATAGAGATAACATATTGTTTGTGGTAATGAGGTGAAAGTACCCATTATGATTTTGGGCCCATGGCAGTGGATCTATATCTGCTAATTTTCTATATTCATTGCTAATATTTCTCTCTTAGCCTCACCTTCATCATCAATAAAATGGAGATAATGTCTATTTCTTTCTTTTTTTTTTTTTTTTTTTTTTGAGATGGAGTCTCATTCTGTCACCCAGGCTAGAGTGCAGTGGTGTTATCTCAGCTCACTGCAAACTTCGCCTTCTGGGTTCAAGCGATTCTCCTGCCTCAGCCTCCTCAGTGGCTGGGATTATAGGCGCCTGCCACCATGCCCGGCTAATTTTTATATTTTTAGTAGAGATGGGGTTTCACCATGTTGATCAGGCTGGTCTCAAACTCCTGACCTCATGATCTGCCCGCCTCGACCTCCCAAAGTGCTGGGATTACAGGCATCAGCCACCGCCCCCGGCCATAATGTCTTTTTCTTCTACTTACCAAGAGATTATATAAAACTCATGATCTAGTGTGTTTGGAAATATGGTCTCAAAACTCAGAAGCCAATGGCATTATTGGCCACTTGAATTGGGACAGGAGTGTGGCAGAGTATCATGAACTACTTTGGATTGTGTGCCCAGAAAGACCTTTCCAAGGAGGTCATGTTTGAGCAGAATTCTGAATAGGAGAAGAAGCCAGCCATGTAAAGGATTGAGCATAGATATTCTAAGCAAGGGAAACAGCCAGTACAAAGGCCCCAAGCCACTTATGAGCAAGGCATAAATGAAAAATTAAATCCACTCGATTGGCATAATCAGAGCAAAGTGTGCAAGGAAGAAAGAATTTGGAGATTATATCACCAAGGTGTGTAGGCCATTCATGAAAAATGATGGTAGGGAGTTAGAAATGTTCTCTAGGGCAATGGAAAACCATTGGGGTGGGGGTGTTGAACCCAACTCTGTACCTGACTATGTAAATTTGACTAAGTTACTTCAGCTCTCCAAGTTTGCTTCTTATTCTACAAAGTGGACATGATACCCACCTTGAAAAATTATTCTGATAATTACATTTACTATTCTATGTAATATATTTAGTACCTGATGGCTGACAGATATGCTACTTGTTACTGATTGTGTTGTTGTTGCTGTTGTTGTTGACACTGTCATTGTCATTATTATCATCCCATCTAAGTTAAGACAGGAATGACTACGGGGAAGAAGAAGGAACAGCAGAAGAGACAGGCAGATATGGCACAAAAGCAGATCCAGTACCACAAAATATTATTCTATTTCCAGATGCCAAATAAGCCTTATCATTCTTTGTCCACACATTTCTTTTTACTTCTAATAATGGGACACCATGGCCTCTGACCTTATAAGGTACTGACCCATGAATCCAAGAGTCAGGCAGGGAGCCTTCATGTCAGAGTATGTGGCAACCACCCAGATCACAATCCAGGAGGTCAGACAGCCCTTCTGGAAGCTGCCAAGGCTGATAACTTAGTCTTGGATGTGGATAACAGGTATTTTAACTAATCTGTCTTGAAAATAACAGTAATAGAACAAAACATACTCTTACTATGTTTTGTGCAGAAAATGCCCAGCAAGGCTTGGCTAAGTAGGAACCGAAGAGAAGTAAGCTGGGAGTGTTCCAGGTAGGATGATTTCTCAAATGTACTTTTTAGAGGCCATATTTGCCTTCATCTTACTCTGAGGACAAATGCTTAAGCATCTGAAAATGTGGACATAGCAATCTTGACACTGACCTTGTGGTTAATAATCTTACCATCCTCCTGTCTTTCCTTTTCTCTACTTTCCTTTTTCTCTTCCTTCATTTCTGACTAACCTTCCCTTCCTTTCTCGCTCCTTTCTTTTCCATTACTTTCTATATTTTTATTTTTAGTTGACAAATAATAATTGTACATATTTATGGAAGACAGAGTAAAATTTTGATACATAGATAGTGTTAAATAATCAAATAAGGGTAATTAGTATATCCTTCGCCTCAAACATTTATCATTTCTTTGCTTTGTGACTATTCAAAATATTCTCCTCTGGCTTGTGAACGTATACACAAAATTATTGTTAATGATATTCACCTTACAGTGCTACAGAACATTGGAACTTAGTCTTTCCTTCTAGCTACAACTTTGCACCCATTAAACAACTTCTCCTCCCTTCTCCTCACCCTTCCCAGCCTCTAGAAATCACAATTCTACTATCTCTGTGAGCTCAATTTCTTTTGATCCTACATATGAATGAGAACATGTGGTATCTTTATCTTTCTGTGGCTGATTCATTTCACTTAACTTAATGTCCTTCAAGCTCATTGATGCTGCCTCCAATTACAGGATTCCATTGCTTTTTTACAGCTGAATAGTATTCCATCATGAATATATACCACATTTTCTTTATCTGTTTATCTGTCGATGGACATTTAGGTTGATCCCGTATCTTGACTATTGTGAATAGTGCTGCAACAAACATGGGAGTACAGCTATTTCTTCAATACTCTTTCCTTTTCTTTGGATAAATACCCAATAGTGAGATTGCTCAATTATATGGTACTCCTATTTTCAGTTTTTTGAGAAAATACCATATTATTTTCCACAAAGCTGTACTAACTTACATTCCAACCAACAGTTTGTAAGAGTTTAATTTTTTCCACCTCCTTGCCAGCATTTGTTATTTTTTGTGTTTTTGATGATAGCCATTTTAATTTGGATGAGATGATATCTCATGGTGGTTATTTGCCATTTCCTTGATAATTAATGATGTTGAGCAGTTTTGCATGTACTTATTGGCCCTTTGCATCTCCTTTTTTGAGAAATGTTTATTCAGATCCTTTGCTTATTTCTAAATTAGATTATTTGATTTTTGAAGTTGAGTTGTTTTAGCTCCTTTTATAATGTGGATATTAGTCCCTTGTTGGATAGTTTGCAAATATTTTTCTCCCATTTTACAGATTGTGTCTTCACTGAGTTTCCTTTGCTATGCAGAATCTGTTTCATTTACTGTAATCTCATTTGTCTATTTCTCTTTTTATTGCCTGTGGTTTTGAAGTCTTACTATAGAATATTTGCCTAGATCAAAGTCCTGAAGTGTTTCCCCCATATTTTCTTCTAGTAATGTTGTAGTTTTGGGTTGTAGGTTTAAGTCTCTAATCTACTTTGAGTTGATTTATTTTTTATATGGTGAAAGATAGGAGCCTCGTTTCAGTCTTCTGCATGGATGTTCAGTTTTCCCAGCACCATTTATTGAAGATGTCTTTTCCCCAGTATATGTTCTTGCAACCTTAGTTAAAAATCAGTTGACCATAAATACGTAAATATATTTCTGTGTTCTCTGTACCACTGGTCTATGTGTCTGCTTTTATGCCAGTACCATCCTGTTTTACTTACTAGATGTTTGAAGTGTTTATTTTATTTTTTTTTTTCCGAGTCTCACTCTGTTGCCAAAGCTGGAGTGCAGGGGTGCAATCTTGGCTCACTAAAACCTCTGCCTCCTGGGTACAAGCGATTCTCCTGCCTCAGCCTCCCGAGTAGCTGGGATTACAGGCACATGCCACCATGCTTGGCTAATTCCTTTTTGTGTTTTTAGTAGAGATGGGGTTTCACCATGATGGCCAGGCTGGTCTCAAACTCTTGAACTCAGGTGATCCACCTGCCTCAGCCTCCCAAAGTGCTGGGATTACAGGTGTGAGCCATAGTGCCTGGCTGTTTGTAGTATTTTTGAAGTCAGGTAGTGTGATGCCTCTAGCTTTTTTCTCTGTAATCAGGATTGTTTTAACTATTTGAGATCTTTTGTGGTTCCATGAAAATTTTAGAATTGTTCTTTTTCTATTTATGTGAAGAATGCCATTGGTATTTTTATGAAATTTGTGTTAAATCTGTAGATCATCTTACATAGTATGATCATTTTAACAATATGAATTCTTCCGATACATGAGCATGAGATATCTTTTCACTTTTTGTGTTCCTTCAATTTCTTTCACCAGTGTTTTATAATTTCATTGTAGATATATTTACCTCCTTGGTTAAATTTATTCTTAGATATTTTAAACATTTTTTATCTATTGTAAAATGGGATTGCTTTCTTGATTTCTTTTTCAGCTAAGTCATTATTGGTGTATGGAAATGTTACTGATTTTTGTATGTCAATTTTGTATCCTGCAAATTCACTTAATTTGTTTATCAGCTTAAGGGTTTGTAGAGAAGCCACTAGGGTTTTCTCTATATAAAAGCATGTCATTTGCAGAAAGGGAAAATTTGACTTCCTGTTTTCGAATTTCAATGTCCTATATATCTTTATCTTGTCTAATTTCTCTGGCGAGGACTTCCAGTATTCTGTTGAATAAGAGTGGTAAAAGTAGACATCCTTGTCTTGTTCTAGTTCTTAGAGGAAAGGTTTTCAGCATTTTCCCATTCAGTATGATATTAGCTGTGTGTTTTCCTATATGGCTTTTATTGTATTGAGGTATGTTTCTTATATACAAAATTTGTTGAAAGGTTTTTTGTAAATGAATGGATGATTAATTTTATCCAGTCTACTTTCTTTTGCATTTATTGAAATGAACTTGTAGTTTTTCACCTTCATTGTGTTGATGTGATGTATCACATTTATTTATTTGTGTATGTTGATTATTCTTACATTCTTGGGATAAATCCCACTTGATCATGATTTATTATCTTTTTGATGTGCTGTTGGATTCAGTTTGCTAATGTTTTTCTAGGATTTTTGCATCCTTGTTCTTCAGTGATATTGGCCTGTATTTTTTTTTTTTTTTGTCATGTCCCTGTCCGGTTTTGCTATCAGAGTAAGGCTGGACTTGTAGAATGGGTTAAGAATTTCCATCTCTTCAATTTTTTGAAATAGTTTGAGAAGAATTCATGTTCTTTTTTGGAAGTTCCATAGAATTCAGCAGTAAAGTCAACTGATCCTGAGCTTTTCTTTATTGGGAGACTTTTTATTGCTGATTCAAACTTGTTATTTGTTTTTAATCTGTTCAGGTTTTCTATTTCTTCGAAGTTCAATATTAGAAGGTTACTCATGTCTAGGAATTTATCAATTTCTTCTAAGTTTTCTAATTTGTTGACATATAGTTGTTCATAATAGTTTCTAATTATCCCTTGTATTTCTGTGCTATCAGTTGTAATGTCTCATCTTTCATTTCCAATATTTTTGATTGAGTTTTCTGTCATTTTTCTTAGCCTAGATAACCATTTGTCGATTTTGCTTATTCTTTCAAGAGAATAAATTTTTATTTCATTGATCATTTTTAATTTTGTGTCTATTTTGTTTAATTATGTTCTGATTTTATTATTTATTTTCTACAGTTAATTTAGTTTGGTTTGTTCTTGCTTTGCTAGTTCCATGTGGTAGCCATTGTTAGGTTCTTTATTTAAAATCTTTCTACTTTTATGATGTAAGCATTTATTGCTGTAAACGTTCCTTTTGATATCGATTTTGCTGTATCCCATAGGGTTTGGTATGTTATGTTTCCATTTTTATTTGTCTCAAGAAATTTTTAACTTTTTATTTTAAATTTTATATTGGTCTGTTGGTTATTCAGGAGCATATTGTTCAGTTTCTATGTGTTTGTAGTTTCCAAAATTACTCTTGTTATTAATTTCTAGGTTTACTTTATTGTAGTCAGAATGGATACTTGATATGATTTAGATTCTTAAAAATTTGTTAAGACTTGTTTTGTACTCTAATCTGTGGTCTATTCTGGAGAATGTTTTATACGCAGTTAAGAAGAATGTGTATTCTGCAGCTTTGAACGGAATGCTCTGTAAATGTCTGTTAGGTCCTTCTGGTCTAGAGTGCAGTTTAACTCCAATGTTCCTTTGCTGATTTTGTCTACATGATCTATCCAATGCTGAAATATAGGTGTTGAAGTCATGACTATTATTATATTGGAATCCTTCACTCTCTTTATTTCTAATAATATTTGCTTTGTATACATAGATATTCTGGTGTTGAGTGCATATATAATTGTTATATTCCCTTGGTGAACTGATACCTCTATCATTATATAATGATGTTCTTTTTCTCTTTTAATTATTCTTTGGCTGAAAATCTATTTTTCCTGACATAAGTATTGCCATTCCTATATACTTTTCATGTGTACAAAATGTCTTTTTCCAACCTTTCACTTTGGGTCTATGTGTGTCATTACAGGTGAACTGAGTTTCTTTTGAGTAGCATATATTTGGATCTAGGTTTGTTTAATCCATTCAACCAGTCTGTATCTTTTAATTTGGGAATTTAAACCATTTACATTCTGATTGTTACAGACAGATGAAGACTTGCTGCTGTCATTTGTTAATTGGTTTCTGACTGTTTTGTATATCCTTGGTTCCCTTCCTCCTCTTTTTAATCTTTGAGATTTGTTAATTTTCTGTAGTGATAATATTAGATTTTTTTTCCTTTCTCTTTTGTATACCCACTCTACCAGTGAATTTTATACTTTTGTGTTTTTGCATGATGATAGATACTGTCCTTTGGATTCCAGATGTAGAACTTTCTTATAGATTTCATGTTGGACCAGTCCAGTGGTGATGAATTTCCTCCATTTTTGCTTGCCTGGAAAATACTATTTCTCCTTCATTTCTGAGGGATAGTTTACCTGGGTCTAGTATTCTTCACTGACATTTTTTTTTCTCTCCCTCTCTTTCTGTCAGTACTTTAAATATATCATCCCATTCTCTCCTGGCCTGGAAGGTTTCTGCTGAGAAATCTGCTGTAAGTCTAATAGTGGTTACCTTATATGTGACTTGACAGATTTTTTTGCTGTTTGTAGAATTCTCTCTTTAGCTTTTGACAGTTTGACTATAATATACCTCAGAGAGGGTTTTTTTGGGGGGTGGAATCTGTTTGGAAATGTTAAGTTTCATGTATCTGGAGGACTATATTTCTTTCAAGACTTGGGGAGTTTTCAGCTATTATTTTATTAAATATGTTTTCTAGGTCCTTTTCCATTTCTTTTCCTTCTGGAATGCCATAATTTAAATAATTGTTCGTTTGATGGCATCCATATGTCACATAGGCTTTCTTCATTCTTTTTCTTTCTTCTTTTTTTTTTTTTTTGTATGACTGGCTTATTACAAAAGATCTATCTTCAAATGCACAGATTCTTTCTTCTACTTTATCTAGTCTACTGTTAAAGCTCTGGATTATATTTTTATCATTTATTAAATTTTCCACTTCCTAGATTCATGTTCTGTTCTTTTTTTTTTTTTTTTTTTTTTTCTTACAGATTCTCACTCTATTGCTCAGGCTGGAGTGCAGTGTAGTCTTGGCTCACTGCAACCTCCGCCTCCCAGGTTGAAGTGATTCTCATGCCTCAGCCGCCCAAGTAGCTGGGATTACAGGCATGCGCCACCCCGCCGGGCTAATTTTTGTATTTTTAGTAGAGGGGGGCCATGTTGGCCAGGCTGGTCTTGAATTCCTGACCTTAAGTAATCCACCTGCCTCAGCCTCCCAAAGTGCTGGAAGTACAGGCATGAGCCACTGTGCCCAGCCATGTTCTGTTCTTTTTTTTTTTTTTTTTTTTTTTTCCGACAGAGTCTCGTTCTGTCACCCAGGCTGGAGTGCAGTGGCACGATCTCGGCTCACTGCAAGCTTCACCTCCTGGGTTCACGCTATTCTCCCGCCTCAGCCTCCCGAGCAGCTGGGACTACAGGCGCCCGCCACCATGCCCGGCTAATTTTTTGTATTTTTAGTAGAGACAGGGTTTCACCGTGTTAGCCAGGATGGTCTCGATCTCCTGAGCTTGTGATCCGCCCGCCTCAGCCTCCCAAAGTGCTGGGATTACAGGCATGAGTCACCGTGCTTGGCCTCTTTATTTATAGTAACTATCTCTTTGTTAGGTTCTCATTAGATCATGAATTGTTTTCTTGATTTTTTTGTATTGTCTGTGTTCTCTTGTATCTTACTGAGTTCCCTAAGATCATTATTTTGAATTCCTTTTCAAGCATGTTATAATTTTTTTTCCTTTGGAGTCTTGTTTTTTTGTTTTTTTTTTTTTTGAGACAGAGTCTCGCTCTGTCGCCCAGGCTGGAGTGCAGTGGCACGATCTCGGCTCACTGCAAGCTTCATTTGGAGTCTTTTATTGGAGAATCATTGTATTCCTTTGCCGGTGCTATGTTTTCATGCTTTTTCATGTTTCTTGTGTTCTTACATGGACATATGCACATCTTGTGCAACAGTTGCTTCTTCCAATTTTATGGGGTAGCTTTTATAAGGAAAGACTTTTTTCTGTAGATGAATCTATAGTGTCAGTTGATCAGAGAACTTTGGCTTTGTTTCTGGGTGGGTATCAGAGTCTTCATATGATTTCTTAAGCTGTAATTAATCTCAATGGTATGTATGAGTTCCTCAGTGACTCTGGCTGCCATTACTTGTGAAGGCTGTATTGATGCTTTTCTGGGAAGTAGGTTGCCAGGAAGGCCAGGTCTTAGGCCCCTGAGTGCCATGTATGGGCACCAGCTGCAGCAGACCCTTGTGAGAATGTTCTTTGAATCCCATGGAAGTGTGTGAGATTACTGGTGGTGACAGCCTTGGCAGGCTGGTCCTCAGGCCTCCAGATGACATACACAGGCATTAGCAATGGCAGCAGCAGTCTCGGGCTGGCTGGTCTCCTTGCATCCCTGGGCAGTGTGTACTAGCACCTGGAGTGGCATTAGCAGCCTAAATGGGCCAAGTTTTGGTTCCCTAGGCAGAACAATCAGGTGTGTGGCAATCCCAATGCTGGAGGGGACTGAGTCACTGTTAATGGCAGAGGCCTTGGGTGAGTGGCTCTCAGGCTTCATGGAGCAAATATTTTGGCTCCCTGTATTCCAAAAGTAGCCTCCCTGATGTGCTGACTACCTGTTGCTCAAGTTATAAGGTGCTTCCTGGGCTCAGGTACTAGGGACATAGCTGATACACCGAGTGAAGCTGATGTCTCAATGCTGCAGGCCTGTGAGTAGATATGAGGGATGTTGGTAGCAGCCCAGGGATTTGAAAATTCAAGGGTTATTGAGACCCAGGAAAAGAGGTAGTATGATATTGGCTCAGCTCTCAAAATAGCACTTTCTTACAGCAGCTTGTGATCCGGGAGTGGGTGAGACCCAGCATGAATTTCCTTTCTGGGACAATGTAGTCATGCGGACTCTAGGCAGATCCCTGTACTAAGCTCAGGAACTATAAGGGCCAAGGGGCTCTCTCGTAGTCGGTATTGCAGACATCTGTAGTTTGAATGTGGAGCATTGAGGATCTCTCTTTTACCTTTTCCTGCAATGGGGAGCCCCTGCTAGCTCTGAGCTGATCCTGGCCAGTTGTTTTTATTTCCTTTTTATGCTCTATATTTTCTTACTTTTATTTTCCTCTTTATTTCTCTTTCAACATGGCTTTGAATACTTATTAGGTGCTTACTAAGAAGCAGAGAGTTTTCTGGGCATAAGATATACTAACACTAATATCCCTGGATAACTAGATGCACGTAAGGAAGAAAGCATCCTATCGTATATGACTTTGTAGAAGCACAAAGGAAAATGGGTTGATCTTATTTGGGGCATTAGAAAATCTTTACTCTTCGGTTAATTTTGGCAAGTAAATAAACTGACAGAGACAGGTAAATAAGTAAAATATGTTTAAAGCCAAGAAAAGAGCAGAGCAAAGGCATAGAAGTGTGAAATACCACAAAGCATAGAAATAAGACTGCAAATAGGCAAATCAAGGAGCTTTTCAAATCATGCTAAGGAGGCTGGACTTTCTTAAGGAAGAAATGGAGAACCACTAAAGAATTTTAAGTGAGGATATGATGTATTAATTCCTGCTCACATTGCTATAAAGAAATACTTGAGACTGGGCAATTTATAAAGAAAAGAGGTTTAATTGGCTCATGATTCTGCAGGGTGTACAGGAAGCATGGCAACATCTGCTTCTGGGAAAGCTACAGGGAACTTTTACTCATGGTAGAAGGCAAACGGAGCAAGTATATTACATAGCAGGAGTGGGACCAAGACAGCAAGGGTGAAGGTGCTATATACTTTTAAACAACCAGATCTCATAAGAACTCACTCACTATACAGTACCAAGAGGGATGGTACTAAACCATTCATGAGAACTCTGTGATCCAATTACTTCCCACCAGGCCCCACCTCCAACCGTGGGGATTACATTTTGACATGAGATTTGGGTAAAGACATAGATTCAAACCATATCATATGACCTGATCAAATCTATGTTTTAGAAATAATACAGGGAATATGAAATAGAACAGGCCATTTAGGATTCTATTGCATTGTGGAAGTGAGCAGTGATAAATGTCTGTGTCTAGCCAGTCACAGAGTAGATGGAGAAAACAGGACAAAAAAGAAGAATATTTTAAGGTGGCAGAAATTTAAAATCTTTGTATTTGCTTAGATAAGAGAATGGCTTAAAGAAAGTGATATAGCATGATGACAAACTTTCTGACCCTAGAGTATGTTTCGATGTTAGCGACATTCACTGTAATGGGAGATGAGGAATGAGGAGCCTCTATACAGAGATAAGCAGCCATTTTGGGTTTGGAGTACTTGTGGGACATCAGTAAATACATAACTACATAAACCTGAGATTTTGGCAGTCTCCATTTTTAGATTTATAATAGAGGATTTAGTTCTTGTGAGTTATTGATTTTGAAAATGTGTGTGAATCTTCTAGCGGTGTCTAGCACATCAACTCTTCTAAAATATTAATTATCTCTTTCTTCTCCTTCGTGTGTGTGTGTGTGTGTGTATGTGTTCTGTTGTTTTTAAATATATATTTATCTTTAGAGACTATCTGTATCCCTAAGAATTTTGACAAAAGAGAGATTGCCTCCTGGGAGTAAATCCCTAAGATCAACCATACACACATAAAAGGTCAGAGAAAAGATAAACAATAGTACTATCTTAGCTCCTTGACTGGCCTAAAGGTGATAGTATCTAAAGAGTACCCCCTTATGTATTTTATCAGTAAGCAGGCTTTCCACAAATACCTTCTGCCATTTAAAAAAAAAAAAAAAAAAAGGCAAAGGACTGAGGCCACAAGGGAGAAGAAACGGAAGCTAGACAGAAAGACGAGTTGAGAGAACTTTCAGTTCTAGGTGTGAGGCCAGAAGAAGAAAGATGTAAAAGGGATTCAGTTAAGTTAAGAATACTGCCTGAGTCCCTCAAACGGCCCTGCCCAGAGGAGACACTGGGGTGAGGAGATAGCAGAGGAGCCCCAGAGAGGCTGGAAAAATAGAAAAAGATGCAGGCTGCTGTTCATAGTCCTTGCTTCATTGGAATGACCTAGGAGGTGAAGATCAGTAAGGAGAGATGTATTGAAAGATGAATCTGTAAAAAATGCAGACAACCCAGTGTTCACACTTGATCTGGGGCAGGGAGCACCAAAATGAAACACCCGCATATACATTTTTTGTTTTAAATTTTAAATTAGAAAGAAAAATATGTGCACAGCAACCAGGCCAACCACACTTGCTAGAAACTAGTAAGGGCACAGGGCCCCAGCTAGACTCCTTTTCTTACTGACATGAGATTACACGAACTTCCTTCTTTATCAAGAAGGGCTGGGAGTGGTGGCTCACTCCTGTAATCACTTTGGGAGGCTGAGGCAAGTGGATCACGAGGTCAGGAGTTGGAAACCAGCTTGACCAACATAGTGAAACCCTGTCTCTACTAAACATACAAAAAAAATTAGCCAGGCATGGTGGCAGGCACCTGTATTCCCAACTACTTGGGAGACTGAGGCAGGAGAATCACTTGAACCTGGGAGGTGGAGGTTGCAGTGAGCCGAGATCATGCCACTGCACTCCAGCCTGAGTGACAGTGCAAGGCTCAAAAAAAGAAAAAGCCATATTTGGGAGAAGGAGGAGAAAAGGAGATGCTTTAGAGGAGAGAAACAATACCGTTAGACTATTTCAGTCTTGAATTTGATCATGCAGTCTGTGATGGTCTGAATATTTGCATCCTCCCAAAATATGTATGTTGAATGTAATCTCCAATGCAATAATATTCAGAAGTGGGGCCTTCAGGAGGTGATCAGGTCATGAGGGCCACCAAATGGATTTGTGCCATTAGAGAAGAGGCTCGAGGATGCCTGTTTCTTTATTTCATCATGTGAGGATACAGTAAGAAGCCACCATATATGAGGATTAGGCCTTGACCACACACTGTATCTGTTGCGCCTTGATTTTAGGCTTCCCAGCTAAAACTCTAGAACTGAGAGCGATACATTTCTGTCATTTATTGATTACCTAATCCAAGATATTTTGATGTAATAGCTCAAACAAAGTAAGACACAGTCTCTCCAAAGAGAAAGATATGAGAAATAACCCAAAATAATTTGAAGAGAAAAGTGGTTAATTGTTAATCTCCCCTTTTGACCCCCTCTACCTCTGGAAAGAAAGGCTTGTGAGAATATTTTGATCATTTGTAGAAAAAATAGTAGCTATATTCTTTTATATACCTTGGCAATAATGGGCAAATTTTAATCCCCACTAGACAATTATATAATAATAAATGAACTATAAAAACAGAAGTTTGCTAGTCCCAGGAATGTAGCAAAAAAACGTTTTAGAAGCAAACAGAGCAGGGGTAGCCAGCAGGGACTGAGGAGGAGGAATATCAGTGTCCAGGCAGCAGCATTGCCCATCTCAACGGTGAAATGATTCCTGGAGGAAGAGGCACAGAAGTATGGCCACTGCACTTCAAGTATTTCTGACCTTGCTGGCCAGACCATTCTTACTGTGAGAATGCTGAATCTGGCTATGTTCCCTAGTGCTAGTCAGCATCCGAGTCAGTTAGCTCCCTTATTCAAATTCTATGCCCACAAAGCCACCCTCTTGATTATCTCTCGGCTCATCAGATTTGCCTTCAAGAAATGGTGTTCGGGTTACAAACATTTTAGATCCTATCAAAGTAATCATTTGTGGTAAACTTGGACATGGTCTCTGGTTTTGATTTTGTTTTCCATGTAGCTTCAGTCCAGGGAGATAATTTGTGGATTTCCCAAGCACAAACTTCCTAATCTCAAGTAAGTTCCATTTCTCAAGCTTCTCTTCATCTCCGCTGCTATCACACTCGTCCACACCACTTGTCTGCCATCACCTAGGTGGCTGCAGCAGCCTGCTGACGGGTGACCCTGCTTAGTAGGATTTGGACCTGGGACTTCTTGTTTATCTTTTTCTTTTTCTTTCTTTTCTTTTTTTTTTTTTTTTTTGTAAGTGCATTTTGTTTTACCACTGCAGCTGTGTAGGAAAAAAAAAGCTGATTTTATTCATTTATTTACCCCTTTATTCAGTGAACAGAATGTCCCTTTTTTGGTTGAAAAGATATTCTAAGAAAAAAAAAACACAGTGATATTATCTCTCTACATGCTAGAAACTATTCTTCATCTTTCCCCTTTCAAACTGCCCCCCTCCCTGATCTCTCAGCCTATGTCATCTTTTAATATCTCACTGGAAAATATCTTTTTCTTCATATTCAATATTTCTTTCTGCCGTTGTGAGCTCTAACTAGAGGCCACAGTCTGTGTAAATGATTCTATATCAAATAAAGCTGGTTACATTGTATTCTCTGGAGCAAAAGCTGAACTTTGGTGTCTTTTCATCAAATCATATTTATTAAGATCTTGTGTTCCCATCGGTATGCTATTCTTAACAAATACTTCAAATATAAAGATTTCACAACCTCATATTGTGAGAGGCTTAAAGGAAATACAAGAAAAAGAAATGAAAACAACTGTTGTGTTATAGTGATGACCAAGTAGATCATTTTATTTATTTTAAAATGCCCTCCATGTAGCTAATATATTATTTGATTAATAAATTGGGGAAAATTAAATTATGTATTTCTGCATCTCCTTCCAAGTTCTGACACCTTAAAAAGAATAAAACTAGCCAAGTTTTTAAATGTTTAATCATTCTAAGTTTTCTCTAAGCTTAACTTATCAAGTAATCCTTATTTACTAATGGTTACTTAAGAAGGTCACTGGGAAGAATAATCTCTTAAAAAAGAAAAATATAGATGCAAAAAATTGGTCGATATTCTTTCATTAGGTTTTTGTCAAATAATTTCTAAAATCTAACATTGTATTAATTAAGCTCCATGTAAGTCTTGATTTTCATAAAAATAGTTATCTCTATCTTACGTCTTGGCAAGGAATTGCAAACAGTTATCTATGTCCTTGGAAGCTGCTGTTTGCCTGTCTCTTTGCCCTCTGGTGTATAGGAAACAATACAACTTTGGGGATCATGGAGCTTTGACTTCTAATCCTCAATACACCACTGACTTAACTGAGTTGCCTTGGGTATGTTACTTAATTGTCCAAAACCTAACTTTCCTCATTTGGAAGATGACAAATTCTTTACCTTGTCAGGTTTCTTTTAAGATTAAAGATTTGGAAGCACTGAATTCATAGAAGATAATCAATAAATGGTAGAGTTCTTTTTAATATTGCATGCATTAAATTTTACATAAAAATGTAAATGCCTTCGTACTTCCTAGAAGACCTTGTTTGCAGTAAAACACAGTTATAAAGTACAGCTAATATAAGAGAAGTGGAAGATAATATCTATGAAAGAGAAGGAAAATATTTTAATAAGGAGATCTAAGTGTTAACCTAGCTCTTAGTTTCTGAGTGCGCCAGGCAAATAAGCAATTCTTAGGAACTAACAGGAGAATGTAAGAATAAAGAGAGAAAAAATGATTCCTTGCTAAAATATTATAGAACAAATTTAGCACATGGTATCATAAACAGAAAATAAGCACACAAAACTTGGGAATAAATGCCTGAATCACAGCTTTAAAATGAATTAAGAAGCATTCTTAGAACACTTGATTTTTCCCATTTAATAAACAGAAGAACTTCATGCCCAAGATGAAGCTCTAGTTAGCATCCACACTAGGATTTGAACCTGGGACTTTTTGTTTATTTTGTTGTAAGTGCATTTTGTTTTGTTTTACCTCTGCAGCTGCATAAAGAAAAAAATAATAATTTATGAACTTTGTTCTGAGGGAACTAGGTTCTAGAGAGTAAAGCTTGGTGTAGGTTTACCATTTCTCAGGACCCAATGTTTTGAAATATGCTGTCTTGTACCACCAATAGAATGTTTTATAAAGATCTAAACACTAACTTTCAATTTGAGACTGGCCACATTTTTTGAAAAAATTAGATATGGCATGTGATCCTTTTCAGGTTGCTTAGTGCATTTTCTGAAATGTGTGATTTAGAAAATTCACCATGTACAAAGTTTAGCTCTGCAAAAATAGTTCAGTGTACCAGGATGTGGCCATGAATATGAGTCATTTAGATAAGTATAGGTTTTATTCATTCATGTAACACATATTTATTGGGTGCCTATTAGATTTAATTTACTGTTATAAACTCGGAGGGCGACGCAGTGATGAGGATAGCGTAGTTGATATAGTTGGGCTGTGTCCTAACCCAAATCTCATCTTGAATTGTAACTCCCGTAATTCCCATGTGTTGTGGGAGAAACCCGGTGGGAGATAATTGAATTGTGGAGACAGTCTCCTTCATACTGTTCTCGTGGTAGTGCATAAGTCTCACGAGATCTGATGGTTTTATCAGGGTAAACTCCTTTTGCTTGGCTCTCATTGTCTCTTGGCTTCTGCCATGTAAGACATGCCTTTTACTTTCCACCATGATTGTGAGGTCTTCCCAGCCATGTGGAACTGTGAGTTCATTAAACCTCTTTTTCTTTATAAATTACCCAGTCTTGGGTATGTGTTTATTAGCAGCGTGAAAACAGACTAATACAATAGTGAACACTTTTCATGACCTCACAGCTTAGCTAGAAAGGAGGAAGGATAAACAAATGTGTACAAAATATTGTGATCAGTGTCAAATATAGTTTAAACCATAAGATATGTGTATTGGTAGCTTAACAAAATACCTAGATATAAATGATCCATAGTTAGTTCAGCAGCCCAAAACAGCCATCAAGGACTGGTGCAGGTTGGGTTCCCCAAGAATCAGACTCTAAAATTGTTTTTAGCCTGCGAAAGGTTTACTGCAGAGTACTTTGGGGATCAACATTGTGGAAGGAAAGAAAAAGAGGCAGCATTTGCACAGGGAGAAGTCCAATTGTTATAAAGGCCCAGGGAAAACAGCTGACCTTCAATGAGGAGTTCTGGAGACTAGATGACCTTTCAGAGCTCTCTTCCATTAGGAGGAAAAGGCTGCCATCTTAGAGATCCTGAGCCCATTAGTTATGGGATTTAGGACCTTAGGAAGGGACGCTCTGTGCTGCTGATACAATCCCTGAAGGGATCGACAGTTGAGGGCAGCAGCACTTCGAAGGGTGGGAGTAATTATCTTTCCTTCCTGCAGTGAGATCTGGACAGCATATCACAGGATCCCACACAGACACTTGAAATCTTCACATTTATTTCTCCCACCATCCTCAGCATGTTGGCTTTTGTCTTCAAAGATCTCTATTAACAGATGACATGAGAGCTACTCAGCTCTGAATATGACATTCTCCAAGAGCATACAAAACCAAAGCAAGCAAGAAAGACTGAAGGGGACCATCATCTCACATGCTTCTCTTATCAGAGGAATATCTTTCCCAGTAGGTCACCAGAACCCTTGTGCCTGTATGTCCCGGTCAGAACTACTGCCAGAACAAAATCAAGGTTTGCTATCAAGGAAGACAGGAGCATGGCCATTGATTGGGTATACTGGGTTGGAACTGGCCCTGGCACAATGGCCCACATGCAGTGGGGACTCGAAGGAGGGTCCCATATGAAGGGCAGAAAAGGGTGTTCATATGGGATCCATTTAAGACTTCTGTGTTCAGGTTTCTTCACAGGGTCATGATTCTGAGGCAAATTTGTAAAGGTTAACATTCTTTTTTTTTTTTTTTTTAATTTTTTTTTTTAATTATACTTTAAGTTTTAGGGTACATGTGCACATTGTGCAGGTTAGTTACATATGTATACATATGCCACGCTGGTGCGCTGCACCCACTAACGTGTCATCTAGCATTAGGTATATCTCCCAATGCTATCCCTCCCCCCTCCCCCGACCCCACCACAGTCCCTAACATTCTTAAGCCTCGGTTTCTTTATCTAAAGATTGGAATAATAAAGAAGTCAGAATAGATGGAAGATAAAGAGTGGAAAGCATGGCATGCTGTAAACTTAAAAAAAAATAGTAGTTGTTGTTAGTTGTGATAAGTAGTGTTAGTAATACTCCCTACTGAAATGCATTAGTGGAAATCCCAAAAATGAGGATTTAATACAAATGTTTCCCTAAAACATATCGTTAATTCAAAGACGTGATAAAAATATTTCTTGATATGTTTTATATAATGATCTTTGCCAAGAAAATTTTCTCTGGTCATTGTCCTAGTTAAATGTTTTCAAAGAACCTCCATGCCTCCTTGATAAATGTCAAACTCCTCACTTTAGCATACAACGTGAATTCACGTCCACCTTTTGTCTTTCTAATTCATGTCTCCTACACGCTCTCATATAAACACCAGCCCCCAAATCCTGTAACTTCTCAAATGCATCATGGATTTTCTCACATGTTGTTTTTCTGCTTCAAATGCCACTCCACGTCTACTTACCTTAACACTGCCGAAGAATCTCTTTCTTTCATAAGCTTCCTTTGACCTTCCCTCGTGCCTTGAGCTTGCCCTGCTCATATCACTATTAGCACATTCCACACATAGTCATTTTCATTTTTGTATCTTCATCATGAAACTCAGATCTCCTTGACGGCGGGAGCTATGTCTGATTCCTCTCTACCCACTAGGAGCATGTACCGTATTCTCAATAAATCTGTGTGGATTGAAAGAAGAGACTGTATGACACATCTCAAAAGATTTATGTATATCCACTGTTACTTAGAACAAAGAATCATGGCATCAGGCTGCCTAAGGCTGATCCTGGTTTTACCGTTTTCAAGTCATATGACTTTTGGCAAAGAGTTAAACTTCCTGTGTAATGAAAACTAAATAAAAACTAAAAAAAAAATTATAAAGGACATCTAAAAGAGTGTTAGGCAAAGAACAAACATTTAATAAATTTAGTCATTATTATCCTTTGAGGAAGAAATCCCATGGATAGGAATATTCTGTGTTAACTACTGAACATCAAATATTACTCTGACTTATTATTTGACTTCAAGAATGTGTACACAATTCCTTGTGTCAGACTTGTAATAGGATATCAATAACTATTGATTAATAATAATAGCTAATATCTATGTAGCACTTACTATGTGCTAAGCAATGTTTTAAATGATTTCACATACATTAACTGATTAATTACTATCAATACCTTGAAATAGCTGCTATTATTTTTCTCATTTTTCTAAATAAACAGACTGAAGTGCTGGGCTCAGTTCACAGCTGTAATCCCAGCACTTTGGGAGGCCGAGGCAGGTGGATCATGAGGTCAGGAGTTCGAGACCAGTCTGGCCAACATGGTGAAACCCCGCCTCTACCAAAAGTACAAAAATTAGCTGGGCATGGTGATGCATGCCTGTAGTCCCAGTTGCTGGGGAGGCTGAGGCAGAAGAATCGCTTGAACCTGGGAGATGGAGCTTGCAGTGAGCTGAGATCATGCTACTGCTGTACTCCAGCCTGGGCAACAGAGCAAGACTCCATCTCAAAAAAAATAAAGAAAGAAAGAAAAGAAAAAGAAACTGAAGCACATAGAGTTTAAATGACTTACCTTGTTGGCAAGTAGCAGAGCTCTGATATAAACTTAAGCAGACAAGCTAGAGAATCTGTTTCCTTTGCCATTATCCTTATAGTATTATAGAATCATGAATGACTAAGTGAATGAATAAACCTCATCAGTTAAACACATTCAGAAAATGGATCTATAATCTGTTCTCTAATCCAGTGATATTTTAAATTATCAATATCCCTCTATATTTTTCTCTCTTTTTGAGCAACCTTTTGGTTGCTTCTACTTTCACTTTCCCCACAAATACACCATGAAGTGGAAATGAATTATGTGGAATGTGATGGTAGGACTGAAAAGGGTAATGTGTTTTTACCTCTCTGAGTTTAACAATTAAGAATATACAGATTGACTTATTAGATCAGACTGCTTTTGTGGCCTAGAACTCATGCTATTGCCAAGAAAAACCACCACTTCTGAGGTCCTGTATGACTCTGGGCCAGAATGATGTAGTGAAATGTTTAACTTTGTCAGCCAACAACAGCAAAGTCAAAGAGCAAATGTGAAACATGGTAGGGATCAAAAGGCAAAGAATAAGTTGATAAAGTCATGAAAAGAAGGATAAACTGTAACCATTTCTAGAAAAATGAGTCAGGCATTTGAATCATAAAGATCCATAGTAGACTGCGAAATAAACAGAAGCAGGTAAGAATTAGTGGTACCGTTGAGCCTATTGTGATTTTTCTGTGATGTCTGCTTAAGACATTGGGGAAGTTTCCAAGAATGCTAGTTTTGCCTAATAACCTCTTATACATTTGTCTTCAATGAATTCATTGAAATTATATTTTAAAATATTAACAAATTTAGACAGAAACAGAATGTCAAAAGGAAAGAGACCTTAGAAATCACCTATCTATCCCTTTCATTTTGAAATAAGTCAACCCGGACTGGAAAAGTTATGTAACTTGATCCACAGTCACTCAAGTAAAGTAATAAACTTTATGGCTGCTACAGAAAGCAAAATTTCCTTCTTTTCATCCTAAATTTATGATTTTTAATTTTCAAAGATGTCCCCCCACCCTACTTTGGGAATACTATGCTTGAGTAGTAAGTCAGACTTCCCATATAAATACCAGCCTTGTATGTAAAAATCCTTAACTTATAAAAAATAATTTTTCACCATCATGAACAGAAACTGTTTCATGAAGGAGCCATCCATTCATGAATGAATGATTGAATGAACATAATTTCAGTTACATAAATGAAGAATAGAATCATCAATATACCTACCTTCTGATTTCTGTATGGCTGCAAAATGTTTATTCCAAGCACAGGCAGCACAGCAAATTGGGGCAAAATTTGATTCTTTAGAATTCCAATTTCAGCCAGACACAGTGGCTCATGCCTGTAATCCCACACTTTGGGAGGCCAAGGCAGGAGGATCACTTAAGGCCAGAAGTTCAAGACCAGCCTGGACAACATACTAAGACTTCATTTTGACTAAAAAAAAAAAAAAAAAAAAAAAAAGTTAAATACATTAGCTAGGCATGGTGGCACAAACTAGAAGTTCCAGCAACTTGGGAGGCTGAGGCAGGGGGATCACTTGAGTGCAGGAGTTCAAGCTTGCAGTGAGCTATGATTGCACCACTGCACTGTAGCCTGGGTGACAGAGCAAGAATCTGCCCCGCCTCCCCCCCAAAAAAGTTCATTCTCTTCCTTATAGATAAAGAGATCAAACAAGTTGATGCCATGAACTTCCAATGTGATGCAATGAGGAGAAAATATCACCTATGTAATGTTCAGAAATGAAAATTAAAAAAACAATGAGAAAGCAAGCAAGTCAAATTGTGGGATATTATGCAAAATAAATCACGTGGACTCTTCAAAACTATCAATGTCTTAAGAGTTAAAAAAAAAGGGCTTGGTTGACTTTTCTGAATTAAAGAGATATGATGACTAACTGCAATGTACTTCTTGATTAGATCTAGGACTAGGAAAAAAGCTTTAATATTATTGAGACAACTGGGTAAATTTGAATATTGAAAGTACATTAGATAACAAAATGTCATTGATGATTAATTTCCTAAATGTGATCATTTTATTGTGGTTATGTAGTCCCTTATTGTTCTAAGAAAATATGTGCAGAAGTATTTAGAGGTAGAGTGTGTCCATACTTGTAACTAACTATAAAATGGCTCAGCCAAAAAAGAAATGTTTGTATATACATCTATATGCATGTATGTACACAGAGGGAGAGAGAGAAAACAAATGCAGTGAAATGTTAGATTGATCTAGATGAAAAGAATATGTACTATTTTTGTAACATTTGCTTACATTTGAAATTATTTAAAATAAATAGGGGAAAAAAGAGAATAAGTCTTAATACTCTAAACTGGTGTGGAAAACCTATGAAATCTGGTGCATAATAGGAAGTTTAGTAACATGTGGAATGAATGAATGAATAAACATTTCAGCCATATTCCTCATACCCACCTTCATATTTCTTCTTCACAATCTTTTAGGAGTCATAAATTCCATCATTAAAAACATATTTCTTTGGATTAATATCTTATATTTCCTGAGATCCCTAGTTAAGGTGTATATATTATTGGAAGAATCAATAATATTTTAATACTTTCAACCTCCAGTTAAATTGAATCATTTTCTTTTCCTTAGAAAAATTATTTAATATCTCTGAACTTCAAATTTCTAACCTTTAAGATGGAACAATAACTTACTTACTGTTGTGAGTTAATCAAATAATTGTTTTGGGGATTAAATATGATAGTGTATTAACATGCTCACACTTAATTAACACTTAGTAAATGGTAGATATTACCATTATTATATATGTACAAATTCTATTTGCCTTCAAGCTGAATTCAAAGGCTATTATTACCTGGTCATGCTTTCCATATTAATTCCAGTATAATCAAAATATAATAATTATGGCTAAGAAGTAGTAGGAACTCTTGTATTCAGCAGTGTCGTAAATGCTTCACATTCATAACATGATTTAATCACTGCAGCAGTCCTGCAAGTTATAACTATTATGATTTTCTTGATAAGGAAACTAAGATTTAAAGAAGATAATAAACTTACTCAAGTTGATAGTTGGTGGACGAGTCAAGATTTAATCCCAGTCCATCTGACTCCACAACCAGCGGCCCTTAACTAGTCCAGCATCCTGGCTCCAGATCTATACTCTTTCTAGCAAGAAAAGACTCTCTTCCAAACCTCTCTTAATGTACATGTTCATTATGTCATTAACAGTCACTCTGTTCAAGTCATATTCCCATAATAGATTGTGATATAGAGAACAGATGATCTAGGAGAAAATAGATAGATTATGTCAGAGGAAGGACCACGCTTGAGAAAAAGAAGTTCCAAATGCAAGTTTCAACTCCAGCCCTTTCAATTATGTAATTTTGAGAGTCAACTGTATTTTCCAAGCTCTAGTTTCTTATCTATTAAGTACAGCAAAAATAATCTTAATTACTGCCTAATGCATGTGTGTGAGGATGGGGGAGGGTATGGAGAAAATCATGCAAGGTAATGGGTAGAAACAACTTCGGTACACTATAAAATAATAACAAAATAATATTTTGCAAAGATAATAAAATTTATAAAAACCGAGAGAATATGTCATATGATATATGTATAATAAAAATGTGTCATATCCATACACAAACATACACATATGTAGATATATCTTAGAGATATGATAGGTTTTATTAAAGACTATTGTAATAAAGTGAATATTGCAATAAGTAGAATCATACAAATTTTTTGTTTCCCAGTGCATATACAATTTATGTTTACACTACACTATAGTCTATTAAGTGTGCAATAGCTTTATGTTAAAAAATAGATATACCTTAATTTTAAAATATTTCTAAAAATACTAACAATCACCTGAGCCTTCAGCGAGTCATAATCATTTTGCTGGTGGAGGGTCTTGCCTCGCTGTTGATGGCAGCTGACCCATCAAGATGGTGGTTGCTGAAGGTTGAGGTGGCTATGGCAATTTTTAAAAATAAGACAATGAAATTTGCCACATCAAGTGACTCCTTTCACTAAAGATTTCTCTGTAGAATGCAATGCTGTTTGATAGCATTTTATCTATGATAGAACTTTCAAAATCAGAGTCAATCCTCCCCAGCCCTACTGTGGCTTTAGCAACTAAGTTATGTAATAGTCTACTTTGTTGTCATTTCAACAGTGTTCACAGCATCCTCACCAACAGTAAAGTCTATCTCAAGAAGCCACTTTCTGTGCTCACCCATATAAAGCAACTCCTTATTCTTTAAAGTTTTATTATGCGATTTCAGCAATTCAGTTCCATTCTCAGCCTTCACTTCTAATTCTAGTTATCTTGCTATTTCTACCACATCTGGAGTTACTTCCTCCACTGACATCTTGAACCCCTTACACCCATCCATGAAGGTTGGAATCAACTTCTTCCAAACTTCTATCAATGTTGATATTTTGACTTTCTCCTGTGAATCACCAATGTTCTTAATGGCATCTAAAATGGTAAATCCTTTCCAGAAGATTTTCAATTGACTTTGCCCAGATCTATTAGAAGAATCACAATTTATGGCAGCTATAGCCTTATTAAATGTATTTCTTAAATAATAAGACTTGAAAGTTAAAATTACTCTTTGATCCATGGGCTGAAGATTGAATATTGTGTTAGTAGGCATGAAAACAACATTAATCTCCTTGTACATCTCCATCAGAACTCTTGGGGGATGAGGTGCATTGTCAATGAGAAGTAACATTTTGAAAGCAGTCTTTCTAAGCTGTATGTGAAACAGGGGGTACCAAATATTCAGTAAATTATGCTGTAAACAGATGTTCCGTCTTCCAGGCTTTGTTGTTTATTCATAGAGCACAGGTAGATCATATCTAGCATAATTCTTACATATCCCAAAATTTTCAGAATGGTAGGTTGAGCATTGGCTTCACATTTAAGCCACCAGCTTCATTAACTCCTAACAAGAGGGTCAGCCTATCCTTTGAAGCCAGACATTGACTTTTCCTCTCTAGCTATAAAAGTTCTACATGGCCTAGATGAAAATTTGTTGTTTAATGTCATCATCTTTACCAATCGTATCTAGATCTTAGCTAGATCTTCTGGATAACTTACAGCTTCTTTATCAGGACTTGCTGTTTCACCTTGCACTTTTAGGTTATGGAAATGGCTTTTTTTCTTAAACCTAGTGAAACAACCTCTGCTAACTTCAAACTTTTCTTCTGCAGCATTGTCACTTCTCTCAGCCTTCACAGACTTGAAGAGAGTTAAGGCCTTGCCCTGGATTAGGCTTTAGCTTAAAGGAATGCTATGGCTGGCCTGATCTTTTATTCAGACCACTAAAACTTTCTCCATATCAGCAATAAGATTATTTTGCTTTCTGTCATCTGTGTGTTCAATGGAGTAGCATTTTTAATTTCCTTTAAGAACTTTTCCTTTACAGTCACAACTTTGCTAACTTTCATGAGTGGCTTGGCTTTCAGCCTATCTCAGCTTTCAACCTACCTTCCTCAGTAAGCATAATCATTTCTAGCTTTTAATTTAACATGAAAGACAAAAGACTCCTCCTTTCACATGAACACTTAGAAATTGTTGTAGGGTTATTAATTGTCCTAATTTCAATTGTTGTGCCTCAGAGAATAGGGAGGCCTATGGAGAGGGAGAGATGAGGGAATGGCTTGTCGGTGGAACAGTCCAAACACACACATTTATTAAGTTAGCCATCTTATATTGGTGTGGTTTGTGGTGCCGAAAAACAATGACAATAGTAACATCAAGATCATGATCACTGATCACAGATCACTATAATAAATATAATTATCATGAAAAAGTTTGAAATGTTGCTAGTGTTACCAAAATGTGACAAAGAGACAGAAAGTGGGTGCATACTGTTGAAAAAATGGCACTGACAGACTTGCTTGATGCAGGGTTGCTGTCAGGCCTCTGAGCCCAAGCCAAGCTATCCCATCCCCTGTGACTTGCACGTATACATCCAGATGGCCTGAAGTAACTGAAGATCCACAAAAGAAGTAAAAATAGCCTTAACTGATGACATTCCACCATTGTGATTTTTTCCTGCCCCATGCTAACTGATCAGTGTACTTCGTAATCTCCCCCACCCTTAAGAAGGTTCTTTGTAATTCTCCCCACCCTTGAGAGTGTACTTTGTGAGATCCACCCCTGCCCACAAAACATTGCTCTTAACTTCACCGCCTATCCCAAAACCTATAAGAACTAATGATAATCCACCACCCTTTGCTGACTCTTTTTTCGGACTCAGCCTGCCTGCACCCAGGTGATTAAAAGCTTTTATTGCTCACACAAAGCCTGTTTGGTGGTCTCTTCACAGGGACGCGCATGAAAGTTGCCACAAGCCAATTTGTAAAAAACGCATTAGCTGTGAAGAACAATAAAATGAGACATAATAAAATGAGGTATGCCCGTATTTTTAAGTAACCTCAGCAACTGGAACAGTTACAGTGTTCCTGGCATAGTGGTAGGTTGTCCTTCTATTGACGGTCATTGTAACACCTTGATTCATGTCTTCTTAGTTTAAAAGAATTCGAATGAGAGACACACAAGAAAGGAGATGCAACATAATTTATTGCAAAAGAGAAAGAATACTTTGAAAGTTAAGTGCAGAATAGATAGCGCACCCTTAGAAAGAGGATTCAGGGTGGGCTTAAGTACGAGACAGCCAAGACTGGCACTAGGGAGACTCCCTTTATGGGAGTCTTAAATAATTATTCATTAGGGGGCGGGAAGAGGCATTCCTCGTAAGCATGTTCTGGGTGGTCTTCTGGGTGCACCTGCACAGTAACTGCACATGCTTGTTCATATGTCATATGTCTCATTTGCATCTTAAATCTCCACCTGTGACAGACTTGTACAATTACTACTTGAGACCCTCACTATGACAGTTACTACTGTTACTACTTGAGACCATCATCATGAGACTGAAAGAAGGGATGAATGCAGAAATGAAAACTTAAGACAAAAGAAACTCTTTTAAAGGAAGGGGAACCGGGGAAGAAGAGAGCTCCCTGCTTCTAGTGAGCAAAGGCAGCCACTGAGCTTCCACAGCCCTTCCTATTTATTGGGTAACAACAGCAGGGGGGAGGAGGTAATGACTGGTCAGCTGCTTAATTAATCACAGGTTCATATTATTACTAACAGGCTTCAGATTTACCTGATCACAAGCAACACTGAACTTGGGGCATGAATGCCCTCAGCATTCCTTCTGGGTGGCAGATGCAGTTTGTCTGTCTGCCAACATTCTGCTTTTATGAGAACAGTTTGCTGTTTGCTCATATAGCCTCCAGTGGTATACTGACTTGATCATGACTCTCACTCTTTCGGCCTGTAACATCCACCCAGGAGCGTGTTTTTTACTATTAAAATGAGCAAAGGGTCAGTTTGAGGACAGGTGAAAGGAAAGTGTGCATGCTGTTTATGGGGGAAATTCCCTACTGAAGATAGCTTTGTTTGAATGAACTTAACAACACTGCAAATGCTGAGGCTTATTGAGTTGATTGTATGGTCAGCACTGTTGCTGTGTCCCAAGGATGTCGTCGCTTCCTTGACAACCTATGCTGCCTCACTTCTATACTTCTTACTTTTTGAGACTCAGTATCCTCAATGGTGTAATGAGGATATTATACCTCAGAGATAGCTAGTTATGAGGACCAAACCTACACAAGCAATGAAAGGTATTTAGCAAATTTTCAAGAATTTTTATCACCAGAAAAAAACATTAGCTTTACCACAATCCAAATCGATCAACTCTTTACCTTGTATCAGTGTTTCTGGGCTGTTTTCGCTGATACCACTCAACTCTCCAATTCTCAAACACCAACTAGGTGTTCAATATTCAATTCAATTCTGAGACTGTCTCCCTGAAGTAACCAATTCCACAAATTAAACAGCTCCATTCCACAAGCCTGTCCCCACTTTGGACACTAGTCACAAGTCCCAGGCCACCTGTATTGCTGACCAGCCAGATATAAATCAGAAGTTTCCACAAACCCCTCTTCAGTTTCCATATTTGCTAGAGGGCTCACATAACTTAGTGTAACACTTTACTTACAAGTACTGGTTTATGATAAAGGATACAACTCAGCAGTAGCCAAATGAAAGGGATGCATGGGGTGAGCTATGGGTGTGAGGGGCTGCACAATTTCCATGCCATCCCTGGGTGCACCACCCTCCCAGTACTCTATGTGTTCACCAACCTGAATGCTCTCCAAACATCTTTGGTCAGGGGTTTATACAACCCTATCTCCAGACCCATTCTGCTCCCAGAAGTAAGGGTGCAGGGCTAAAACTTCCTACCTTCTAATCATATCCTTAGTCTTTTAAGTGCCCAGCCCCCATCCTGAGACTATTTAGGTGCCCCACCCTAAGTCACCTCATTAGCATAATCCCAGGAGTGATTAAAAAGAGGCTCTTTATGAATAACAACAATACACTCCTATCAGGAAATTCCAAGGATTTTAACCTCTCAGTGCCAGGACCTGAGAAGAAAGACCAAATATAGTTCTTATGATACCACAGTGTTTACTCTATTATAGGGCTTCAAGAATGGAACATGTGGCAGATAAATTCTGAAGCTGGTAAAAGATGTGGAAATGCAGTTTTGATGCAAGGAAAATGATGTAAGCTTTCTACCAAAAGTTTTTTTTTTTTTTTTTTTAATTATCTTTATGGAGCAGTCTGAGTGCTACCTTTAGCACTCAGTGGGGATGTGTTGCTACCTTTAGAAGTGCAAGGGCAACTGTAGTTTCCATTTCTAGCAAATTGTTAAATTTGCAGACTATTCTGCAGAGTGAGCCATCAAAGGGTTGGGGTTCCAGGATTCTGAAACAGGCATTTTGAGCAACATGAATGCTTGAATGAGCTTCTCCTCTGGGTCTTCCGCTACCATTCTCCCACTTCCAAGTAGAGACCCTCTTGCTGGCCTAGCTAAGGTCAGGCATATACCCCAGAATCAATCAGCTAAGGCCAGGAATGCAGAAACAAATTCTTAGCAAGTTATCATTCCTATACACTAAGAGTCTAATAATTCTGGAGAATGGGACAATATTTAGGCCCAACAGGTACTATATGTGGTGGTTACTATGGCTTCTAAAAAAATTAAATAATTGAATAAATTAATTTTATTAGAATAAATTAATATTACTTGGGAAGTTGATGATAAAATAAGAATTGAAGTTGCGTATGCTTTATAAATATTCATGTGTGGGGTGTGAGTGTGTGTGCTCACATGTGTGTGTAAGTGTGTTTCAATCACTGTAAAGTGATAGTACCTATTAGAATTTTAGGTTACAGGTAAATGCACACTATGATTGACTTGATTCATGTCAGTGTAATTTCCTTGCAGATAGCTTCCATTTGTCAGAAATTAATGGGAACAGAATGTGCTATTGTGGATGATGAGTTTCCAAAGATAGCTTTTATGCCACTTGTCCAACTGGACACCCCACCTTGGCCCTGTTGGGTTTATTACTGTTCATTCAGACGTTTGAAAATCTCTTGAAAATTCTCCTTCATACCAAATGGAACCAGCACTTTCAAATGGATTTTATTTGACTTCTTATTAAACCACTATACACTAGAAAGAGTTTTCTTCCCAGAAGGGTTTCTGCATTAGAACTTATCAAGCCTCTATATAGTTCAATTCCTGATTAGCAATTTGTCCCCCTAAGAGCTTTAAAGATACACCTTTATATATCTGTAATTTCATCCCTTTCCCATTTTTCTTTTATCAGCACATTCAAATGTATTTTACTCTTATCTTAGATCTGTCACTCAGCATATGTCAACTTCGAGAGTGCTGGACTATAGCAGTAACTGTCAGTAATGTTTCAGACAAAAGAAAGAGAAAAAAAAAGTCAGAATGCATGCATCAGATCTCAAAAAGCTGTCTGCTCTGATAAATAGCATATCCTAGTATGTTCTTCTAAATTATTTCCATCAGACAATCAAATGACAATCTATATTCTTGCCTGGGAGGAGAAAAGACATTTTCTTTGACTATATGTTATCAAATACCATGTCTAATCTATCCATATCATCTATCCATATCATATTTTCCTTTTAACGTTTCTAAAGCTTTTATTTAAGGCTTTTTTCTTTCCAGTTTATGCTCCCTAAACCTCATAACCTCAGCCCCACATTTCCTCTGTGAATTCTTTCTTACAATCCCTGCTTTCTGTCTGATATAGCCACCCCTCCACCCCACTTTATTTCACTCTCTGGTCAAACCTCAATTACTGTCCTTGTCACATTTCTTTGAAGGTTCTGATCATGCAAATGCCTCCAAAAGTCAACTGCAAGCCCTCCATGGCAGACTACAACTTGTCATGTGCACTAGGGGCCTGCTGCATATAAAAATATTACTATCAGTGACTAGTCACAGATACTTGCCTGCTAAATTGATAGCTCGTGGGCAAATAGATGGGTAGATGAATGGATACATGAATAATTGGGTTGCTGTCTGTAAGCATATGGGTGCTTTGTAAAAGTTTGTTGAATTGAATTGATCTCTACAGAATAAGTTAGAGGAAAATAAAACTTTTTAGAAAGATTACCTGTTAGTGGATTTGAAAAAGTAAAATAGGGGAGCTAAAAATAATAATGTACAAATTTAGCAGCTAAAACATAAATGAGAGAGTTCAGAGATATCTACATCTGTTTTAGCAGAATAGAAATTGAATTTTTGCTCATGTAGAGTAACCAAAAGAATAAAATTTTCCTCTTTCAATGATCACTTTTAAAGGAAAGCCTGAGAAATGTGGGCTCAAATCATATTTGATATATTCATTGATAGGTTTTTTGTTTTGTTTTGTGTTTTAATTTTTGTTTTATAACTTTCTTGTAGTAGATTTGGAGTCACAAAAACCTTGGGTAGAAGTCCTGACTCAACTACTAACTAAAGGTGTGACTAAAATTGTGTTGTATACAAGCATTGGACAATCCAATGCTTATTTAGTGCCTTCCACATGGCAGAAAACAGACTAAATCATCGACTCTCACAGCCATCTGATGAAGCATGCATTTTTCCACCTTACAGATGATAAAATTAAAACAGAATAGTTAGAAAAATTGCCCAAGGTTACAAAGCTACTGTATTAGTTTTCTATTGCTGCTATAATGAATTACCATAAACTCAGTGGCTTAAAACAATGAAAATGTATTATCTTAGTTCTGGACACAAAAAGGCTGCAGTCAGTTTCCATGGGCTTAAGTCAAGATGCTGGCACGGCTGGTTCCTTCTGGAGACTCAACCAGAGAGCTAGTCTCCTTGCCTCTTCCAGCTCTGGGGGCTGCTGCAGGCCTTTGCTCCTTCTTTGCGTCTCTCCAGCCTCTTGCTTCTATCGCACATCTCCTACTTTCTCTTCTGTGTCAAATCTCCCCATTTCCTTCTTATAATGATCATATTTCAGGCCACCTTGATAATCCAGAATAAACTCCCTACCTCGAAATTTTTAATTTAATAACATCGAATTACATTTCCTTACATTTTTGTCATGTAAGGAAACATTCACATGTTCCTGTAGTTAGGATCTGGATATATTTGGAGGGCACTATTCAGCGACCCAGCTACTAAGTGCTGGAGCTGGGATTCAATTCTAGGCATTTTGGTGCATAGCTGGTCATAATTCTAGTATGCCATGCTGCCTCTCAGTAGTGGGGTATATACAGCAATAATTGCAAGAAAGAAGATGCTACTCAATCTAGCCTAATACAAGCAGGATAAAGTGAACCCCAAGGACAACGATGCAAGAGAACCTCAGGAAGGGTCTAAGCCCATTTATGGGAAAGCTTTAGGAGATATACTTCTGGGTTTCTCTGAATGTTTTAACTATCCTTTTTCTCTCTGTACTCACCTTTCTCTTATCTTTGCAGTCTACTTTGTGGGAAAGTATCACAATGCAGTTTTATGTGCTTCATTTCTAGCCACACATAAAACGCAATTTTGCCCTCTTTCCCCTGTTTTGTAAGTGACCACTTAGTCTACTCAAGTATGGCAGAGGCCTGGATGTTATAGTATAAATATGGTTTCTGGGTGAAGTAGGATGGTAGCTTAATCCAATTATCAAAAAAAAAAAATTTGTTTAAGGGTTGAGGCTTTGAAAGCTGAGCAGCATTCCAAAGTAAAAAAAAATATGTGAAAGTTCCCTGAAGGTAGGGATTGTATACTTAACTTTGTTTTGAAATTCAGGAGAAATGTGACAGTATCTATTTAATTTAGCTCTACAAGTAATAGCAGTAAAATTATGAAACAGCAGTTATCAAAAAGTAAAAGAGAGTCCCCAGGAGATTTTGGATGGTAACTCCCAAAATATGTGTGTTAGGTTCCTCCCTCCCTCCCTCCCTCCCTCCTTCTTTCTCTTTTCATTTCTTTCATTCTTTTATTTTCCTTCCTTTCTTCATTTATTCTTTATTTCTTTGTTCATTTGCTTTTTTATTTGTTCATTTGTTACCTCACTGAGGAAAAATAAAATGTCATGAAACTGCAAAAGGAGTCCTGAGGCTCTGTCCAGCAACTTTCATGATGGTTTCAGTTGCTCCGTCTGGGAGCTGTGGGGTCAGCTGAGTATACAGCTGAGGATGTGTGTCATCCAAGAAAAGGCAGCTCTGATTACATAAAAAGTTAGAATCAGGGCATGTATTCATGTCTTGAGATAGGTTAGAGAATTATCATGCGAAGCATTGGTAGAATAAGATCAAATGCTTTGGGATGGAGGGCTTGAATAAGACTCTTAACCTATGCATTCATGGTGAATGAGACTGCAAGCATTTAAAAGCATAGGATTGTGTAGGACAGTTTCTAAATGATATCTATTAAAATGTTGATAATAATAATAATAAAGCAAAGCAGAACAAAACAACTATCACTGTCATGAATGGTAGTCACTGAGTGCTACTTATTTAGTTCAAAGATATTCCTAAGAATTCTGTGTATTAAACAAACCAAGATGTTCATAGAACTCACAACATGGATGCTTCATGGCAAGAAGAATTAGAGTGCAAATTACCTAGGACTGTATTATTCAAAAAAGGGCAGTAGAGTCTGGTAAAAATGTACAAATTCTGGAGTCATACTTTGAATCTTTTTTCTCTTACTGCCTAGCTATATGGCTTTGGGAAAGATATTTTGCTTTTTTGAACATCCACTTTGAAGTCAGTAGGCACTCAACCAAAATGCCTTTATTTCTCCTTTATCCTCTGTCATAATCACTTTTTACATGGACTCCAAACTCATACCACTCTGAACAATGGCCCACGTCAACTACCTGCCCTCTATGGGCTGATCTAAAGTTGTCCTTAATACATATGGCTCAAAAAAGCAAGTTGAGTAAATATCAAATGCTTAATGCAAATCTCTGCATTATCCACATATTCTGAAAGACATTGACCCACGTATTAGTCTGTTCTTACACTGCTAATAAAGACACATCTGAGACTGGGTAATATATAAAGGAAAGAAATTTAGTTGACTCACAGTTCAGCATGGCTGGGGAGGCCTCAGGAAACTTATAATCATGGTAGAAGGTGAAGCAAGCACGTCCTTCTTCACATGGTGGCAGCAAGGAGGAGTGCCAAGAAAAAGGGGGAAAGGCACCCTATAAAACCATCAGATCTCATGAGAACTCACTCACTGTCATGAGAACAGCAGCATGGAGGTAACTGCCCCCATGATTCAATTACCTCCCACCAGGTCCCTCTCATGGCATGTAGGGATTACAGAAACTACAATTCAAGATGAGATTTAGGTGGGGACACAGCAAAACCATATCAATCCAATTATTCAAACTATCTTCAGGAAGTATGGCTCTTTAACAAATCTAAATTTTAGATAGAGTTTCTGCGTCATAGAAGAAAAGGAAAGGTAACTCATTGGCTGAGACTTAATACAAGCCTTCACAGGCAGCTCAGGCCATGACCATAAAGAAATTACGGTACTTGGAGTTACCCAGGAGGTGACTTGGAGGTACCCCAAAATGAGACAGAAGAATTATTAGAGGGAATCTGTTTTCAATGAGTTTATTGGTTAGGAACAAGGGAGTTTGAAATCACAGGAGACTCAGTGTGGACACAAGCAGGTGTGAGTAGAAGGAATAGCCACTGGCATGGATGAAACAAAGGAAATATATAAATAATGTCTTTCAACAACCCCTGCAGGATTGCAGAAACACAGACACTTAGCAGGTTTCGATTGTATTATAAAAAGCATAGAGTATTTTCCATAGTTAATGAGCTGGGTTCAAATTTTTAATAAGATTGCTGGGATATCTAAAACCAGTATATAGTAAATAATATTTTATTGGGTAAATGTATTTACATAATAATAATGCATTCCATTTACCTATTATATATTATTTACCCTTGTTACTTTATAAAGATAAATTTGTATACATTAGAAAATAAAAAAAGATAGGCAGAGAAAATATATTAAAAAACAGAGAGACAATAGCATTGACAAGTAAATCTCGAATATAAAATTGACAAGAGAAGCAAGGAAATCATTAAAAATTCCAGAAGCTCTAGTTAACCTGATACATATAAAGGGAGAAAATGCAAACATACACCATTTGAAATGGAAAGGGCAGGGAGAGTGGGTATCGAAGATACTGGGGAAATAAAAGTATTATTTTTTAAAAGAACTTCACAGGACTAACATATTTGAACATCTAGATGAATGAATACTTTTCTAAGAAAATAGTATTCTAATGAATACTAAAATAGACACCATAGGAGATAGAAAACCTAAGCAATTGACAAAATTGAGAGGTTGTCAAAGATCTATAACCATCTGTGTGCTAGATCTGGTTGGCGTTGGTTTGTTAAGCAGATCGTGCACATCTCTTTCCACCTCTAAGTTCCATGGCATCCTCTTAGTAAGCCTGGTATCAGCCAAGGTGGAAATCTTTACACTGTAGAAGTCAGTACATGCAACAAATCAGGGATTCCCCACTCCTGCTGACAGCCAGTTATTAAACATTTACCGGCCTATCACTAATTGTAGCTCTGAAAAATGCCAGAGACAGATGAATTCATTCAAATTTTTAAAGACAAGTCATTCTGTAATTTGAAAAATGTTCCATAGGGGAGAAAAATAGTTTCAGAAGCACTGCCCTGTTAACAAAACAAATCAAATGCAGAAAGCTTTAGACCGATCTTTCTCTTGCATATTTATGCAAAAGAAAAAAAAAAACACAAGTAAAATAAAAGCAAAGGCAGTTCCCCAGTTTAGTATACACTGATGCTACAGCCTCCTAGAAGGCAAGGGTGGTTCTGTAGTAGGAACTCCATTAATTCAATATATAATATTAAAAGGTCAGTTGAGGAAATATGAGCTCTGTCCTCAGGTAGCTTAAGTGAACAGATAATCAATTAAAAAGTAGCATAATTAAAGAGAAAAAAATATATGCTAACCGATTAGGATAAACATGAAAGATATTCTGAACTCCACTTGCTATTGATTCAGCTGCATATATATATTATATATATATAATATATATATGAATATACATGAATAATAAGCATAGCATATATAACAAACATAAACGTAAGTGTAGAAGCCTCCCTTTGTTTCAGTGTGAGGCAATATTTAATCCATATCTTAGAATATTTTCATTAACTTAAGCTTTAAGCAATTATAATGAAGGAAGAACAAAAAGACAAAGAAATAGCAGGAAAGTGGAGATGAAGAACAAGTAGGAAAAATAAAAAAGGAAGGAGGGAGAAAAAACAAAGGTAGAGAGAGAAAGTGGAAAAGAAAAAGAGAAGGAAGGAAAAACAAGACAGGTGGAAGGAAGGAAAGGAGGAAGGAAGGAAGAAAAGGAGGAAGAGAGAGAGGAAGAAAGGGAGGAGGGAAGGAAGGAAAGGCAGGAGGGAGGGAGGAAGAAAGGGAGAGAATGGGAGGGAAGGAGGGAGGGAGAACAGTGTTGAGGCTTTTTTTTTTCCTACTTCCTAGTTAAAAAGCTCCTTAAGGAACAGAATCAGTTTTGATTCCTTGGAAAGCATCATCTCCTTCCAATCCAGATAGATCCATTAAAACACAAAAATTCTGACTCAGCCCAGGTTCCACCAGTAAGGAGACAGTTAATGAAAAAGGAGAATGGAGGCAGCAGCAGCACTGAGGTTTGTGGTGGAGGCTGCTGGTGGGGCGGCTAACTCCTTGCCAAGTCAATCAAGGCCACCAGGGTCACAAGTGCCTGAGCTCACTAGCCAGTGGAATGTGCCCCTGTTCTTCTGAATGCAGCTAGTAATTGTCCTGGAGAGGTCTGGAGAAGGAAAAGGGGCAGGGCTCTTGAAAATAGCTTAGCATCTCTGGACTGGACAAAGCCTCCCACGGGCCTAGAAACCAAAGTATAATAAATAACCTTTTTCTTAAGCCAAAGAAGTCCAAACCAAAAGAGGAATAAGAAAAGAGAGGGAGATAATTGTCTCCAGATTTTTGTTTATTTCACTCATTTTACAGGAAATGCACTAGCAATTTTGGCTACCATATCCAGATAATACTAGATGTTTTACATGTATGAGTCTGACATCTCTAGGATATATTATCATTATAGGAGGAGAGAGGGGAGAAGGAGAAGCAGAAGCGGGGGTGGTAGTAATAGTTATAGTAGTGGCAGTATAGCAATAGTACTGGTGATGGTAATAGGTCAAATTATGGTTGCGGTTATTAGAAATCGTTCATTCAAACCTATTTAGAGTAAATATCCCCAGGCACTAGGTAATAAAAACAAGTGTGATAAATCTGTAGTTTGTGTATAAGGCAGAGAAGAAAGACTAAAAAGTTACTTGGGAAGATCTTAAATGATCAAAAGATTCTGAGAGGAAGAAACTCCTGGAAAATTGGCGAGAGAAGAAAAACAGAGAAGCAACAAGAAAGAAAAGTATATGACCTTTTAAATTGTGGACGTTGTCTAGGTGTTTGTTATGCACGGAATTGTGTCCTTCCAGAATTCATATGTTGAAGCTGTAACCCCTAGTATGTTAGAACCTGACTGTATTTGGGAAGATGATTAAGTTAAAATGAGGCTTCAAGGTGAGCCCTAATCCAGTAAAACTAGTATCCTTATAAAAAGAGGAGATTAGGGCATCCAAAGATGCCAGGGATGCATGCTCAAAGAAAGAAAGACCGTGTGAGGATGCAGCGTGACAGCAGCCATCCGCCCACTCTTTCTCTAAAACAGAGAGGTCTCAAAAGCAACCAAACCTGCCAGCACCTCCATCTTGAACTTCTAGCCTTCAAAACTGTAAGAAAATAAGTTTCTGCTATTTAAGCCATTCAGTCAGTGGTATTTTGTTATAGCAGCCCTAAACTAATATAGTGCTCAAAATTAAATTTTTTAGATAAAGAGGGAAAGAGCCAGGGAGAGATGGAAGGAAAGAAAATGAAAAGGAAGGAAAAAACAAGGAAAAAAAAAGTGGAGGGAGAAAATCTGGTGTAACCTTACCTTATTAAGATAGCAAATTATAATTTACTTTCAGCTACGTTATATCATTTCAAAAGCAGATATTTCAGAATGTGGCCATGGCCAAGTTTTAAAATTTGGAGAGGAAGAAGCACATTCTTTCTAGTAAGTGCTTATTTTAGAGGTTAAAGCAATTTTTCATTCTTACATTCCTGTCTTCTTACATAAAGGATTATTTAAACACTGCAGAACTTATAAGAAGTCAAGGCCTACCTTGTTGATGCACATGTATTCACTTCCTTCTACATTTATCTAAATGTTCATACACAGTCTCACGCACAGAGGATGTTGCTAAATACATGAATAATCCTCGGGATTAGGATGCTGACTGCTTAATAAAACCTGAATGATTTAGCAACTTTCCCATTTACCTTCCTATCTATTTCAGCTCAGTTTTCAGAGGGGGAAAATACTTACGATTGTAATATTAGTTGTTAGTTTAAAAAGTTACCACTTGCAAAATCTTTAAAGAGTTTTAAAAATCATTAAAGCATGAACGCATTGGTTACTCATTTGCTGAGCATTTGGAGGGCAGATCAGGAAACATAAAGATGCCACGATGATGAAGGTTGAATAATAGTTTGCTAAGTGCAAAGCATCATCCAAACCATGTCTTTAAGGGTCCTTCACTCCCCAGCTCATTGCTCTGGAGAACTATGCAATAAGAATGGAGTCAAAGAGACAGAAATAGAGGCAGGAAAAGTAAATAGGTGCTACATCAAAATGGAGTTGCAAGGGGACATTTCTGCCTGCCAGAACCCAACCCATCTTTCAAGATCCAAATAAAGGGAAGAAGCACGGCTCTACCAATTACCAGTCTTGTCAGCTTTTCTTGGACCCTCTGCCTCTGGGGCAAGTTTCTTTTCTGCTGTTGCCAATGGGAATTCAGGCCATGCTGATTTCAAACTTTTTTTTTTTCCTCTGCTGCTTTCTGAAACACTTTCTTCTTCAGGTATTCGTGACATCCTCAGTTCCCAGACCACAACAGTGAATGGTTTTGGAATCAGTGACTCCCATTATCTCTATCCCAAAGCAGAGAAATGAAACCCTGGATCCTCATGCCAAGGCAGTTTTATATATCGGAGCCACTGTGACTTCTCAGTGTTCATGGCCCTCTATATTGCCAATATTCAAAGGAAACCAGAAAAGAGGGAAGCCAGAGCCCCGAGTCTATGCTTGGGCCTTGCTCTGGATGTTGAGGAAAGGAGTTAGGCACAGACGACCAGTCCAGGATGGACCCTTGGGAACACACGTTTTTGTGATGAAATGAAACTTGTATGGTATGACTTCAATTTAGGGATCAAAATATAGGAGAGAGAGAGCAACAGGGACAAACTGCTTCTGATGCTAGAGGAGGGACAGAGATCTTCCTGCTGTGATTAGGGACCTCTTGGAAGAGAGGAGTCATTGAAGCTGATCCTTGATCTCATTTAGACTTAAGTGAGGGCTGGTGAAGAATGATTTATCAGTTGGGATGAAAATCTTGGACACCAACAGTAGGTCATACCTATACTGGAATTAAAGGAACTAGAGGCCATATTACTAAACTTTTTTTTTAAACCATCATCAGTCATTTTAAGCATTTACTGTGTATTTACTCTAGTCCTCACAATAACCCTAGGAAATAGACAGTATTATCTCAATATTTTTAAAATTTATATAAATTTAAGGGAGTACAAGTGCAATTTCGCTACATGGATGTATGGAGTACTGGTGATGTCTGGGCTTTTAGTGTAACCGTCTTCCAAATAGTGTACATTGTATCTGTTGAGTAACTTTTCATACCTCATTCCCCTCCCACCCTTCTAAGTTTCCAGGGTCTATTATTCCACACTTTATGTCCATGCATACAAACTATTTATCTTCTGCTTATAAGTGTGAACATGCAGTATTTGACTTTCTGTTTCTGAATTGTTTTACTTAAGTATTATCTAATTTAAGAGACAAATGAAGGTTACACAGCTATTCGGTCTCTATTTCTGCCCTTTGAACTAATACGTGCGTGTACTGAGATACAGCACAATTAATGTCATGATGAAGTGATATATAAGATTCTGAGGGAACACAGAGGAAGTCCTCCCTATCTCTACATAAGAGAGCAGTCACAAAGGAGACAGGCCTTCACCAAAAAGTAATAATGAAGCACTGAGGGAAGAAGGCATATTCTAATCAGGGAGACATGCCAATGTTGGCATGAACACAGAATGTAAGGTGAAGAGCAGGAATGTGAGGACAGCAACTGTGAGCATAAGCAGTGCATGGCAAGATATTAGACCAAACTGTGGAGACATACAAGGTCCGTCACAAAGGGATTTCTATGCCAGGTTACAATTTGTCCTTAATTCTGAAGGCAATAGGAGTCAACAAGTTAACAGAGAATGGCCCTGGTTATGTTTTTCCTTCCTAAAAATCACTTTGACTACAGTGTACAAACTGGATGAGAGGAGTTGAGACAAGCAGCAGGAGATACTTAGGAAGCTCTTACAGGACTTCATGCAAGGGGTGCACAAGGTCAATGGGATGGAGATAACGGGAGAGACTTCAGAGACATTTAAGAAGTTAAAGGGGCTAAGCACAGTGGCTCACTCCTATAATCTCAGAGCTTTGAAGGGGCTGAGGTGGTAGCATCACTTGAGTCCGGGAATTTGAGATCAGCCTGGGCAACATAGTGAGACTCCATCTCTACAAAAGATAATAAAATTAGCCAGGTGTGGCAGTGCACACACCTGTGGTCCCAACTACTCAGGAGGTTGAGGTGGGAGGATAGCTTGATCCTGGGATGTTGAGGCTGCAGTGAACTATGGTCACGCCACAGTATTCCAACTTCGGTGAGTGAGAGTCTGTCTCAAAATAAGAAAAAAAAGAAGTTAAATGGTCAGGACTCAATAAATACCTAGATGGTTGGAGTAGAAAAAGGGATTAAGTTTATGATGACTCATGACACTAAGGCATCTAGCTGTGAAGACCAGTTAGATAAAAGAGTCATCAACCATATTAGGAAATTCCACTGATAATGGTGATAATTATAGACTCTTAATGAGTCTCATTGTCTGTAGTCTTTTTCTGCTTCAGTTCATTCTTCATAATATTTAATTTAGCACATTATTTTTGGTAACGCTACAATCGTCAAAACAATCAGAGTCTACTCTTTTCTTTAAAACTTGGCATAGAGAGAGGGAGAAAGGATAAAATGAAGTAATGAGGGAAGGAAAGGAAGGGAGGGAGGAAAGGAAGGAAGGAAAGAGGGAGGGAAGGAAGGAAAGAAGGAATAAAGGAAGAGAGGGAGGGAGAGAGAAGAGAAAAAAGAAATGTTCAACTCCAATTTAAAGCAAGAGATTGAGGCTTCTTCCTTCAGTCTAGGTTTTACTGATACTTGAGGTTTAATAGTAAAAATAATATCAATCTCTAGTTATTGGGTCCTTACTGTGAACCAAGAATAATATTTGGCATTTTTTAATTAGTATTTAATAATATTAATAAATTAATAATAGTCCTCTTAAGAATCAGTTTATTATGTAATCATCCCATTTTTCAGATGAGGAATCATTTTTCGGATGAGGAAACTAAGAGTAAAAGGGGTTAAGTGATTTGGTTAAGAATATATATTGAGTAAGTGGCAATTCTAGAATTTGCATGCGGTGCTCTTGCTCCAAGGCCATCCTACTTCCGCTGTATTATGACAAATGTATTTACAGTCACGTTCAAAGGAGAAAAAGTTTATGTATATATCTTAGTCCATTTTGTGTTGCTATAACCAAATATCATAGACTGGGTAACTTATAGAGAAAACGAATTTATTTTTTACAGTTCTGGAGACTGAGAAATCCAGGGTTAAGGGTCCCACATCTGCTGAAAGCCCTCTTGCTGAGTCATTGCATGCTGGAAGGTGGAAGGGCAAGAAAGGGTGAGCCCAAGAGGGGAAGGAAGCTGAACTCATCCTTTTACCGGGAACACACTCTGGCGCTCAGTAACCCAGTGCAGTGAACAGGGTATTAATCCACTTATAAGGCCAGAGCCTTCATGACCTAAGCACCTCTTAAAAGTCCTGCCTCAACACTGCTGCATTGGGGATTAAGGATCCAACACATCAGCTTTGCATGACACATTCAAACCACAGCAATGTCTAAGTGTGGAACTGATTTACAGAGGAACTCGGGAGAAAATGTGTCCCAGTATTCCCTTCATAACTCATAGCCCAACTCTGACAAGGTACAAAGACTGATTGATTTTTCACATGTTAACTGCATGCTCACTACCTGTATAAATACAATTTCTGGAACCCTAAGAGTGGCCCAAAACAGGTTCCATTTTTCATTTTGTAAAACAAGAACTTGGTGACTGCTAAATAGTACATGTTGACAGCTGGGCAGCAGAGTCTTGGAGCAGCAGCACAGGAAAGCATAACTGGTATGCTCAAAATGTCACTGAACTAGAGAGAATCCATCAAGACTGAGCTGACTGCATCTGGACAGTGGGATCATTTGGGGGATGGTTTCCAAAATGTCTACTCTTATTACTTTGTCCTTTCTCTTCAAACACCAATGCAAAAATCCCTGTTTTCAAATTGGTCTTGATAGTGTCTCTTCTCCACCTACTTTGTGGCAGCTTCCGGCAACAGCCCTGAACATACCCTCCTCTTGGATTTTTGACAGAGTCCAATATTCAGTTGCTTTTTTTCTGGCACTGACTTCTGAAGTATGCTTCTCGTTCAATCTTGCACTACCCCAGGGCAGCAGAATACATTTTTTTTGTTGCAGGTATACGGAGGGAGAAAATGTGATGGAACAAACCTTCACTGAATTTGCATACAAAGCTACAAATGACTGCTTTAAATTTTTTTTTCCAACAGCAACTCTTACATGAACCAACTGACATTCAAGGTAACTTACTTGGTAACCATCTCTTGTTCATCAAGACTCAGGATGGAGGGAGGGCAAGATGGCCAACTAGATGTAGCCAGGTGGAACAGTTCTCACTGAGGGAGTGAGATAACTGGCATGCTCCTAAAAGATCTTGAGAGGAAAGGCACCGAGAGTGGATGAAGGAGAGGCACAGAAGCTGGGCTGAAGAGGAAATCAGGGAACCCTGCATGGGGCTACTGCACACTCGGACTCATACCCAGCACCCCATGGCTTTGGGGGAATGGGTGAGTTGAACTGGCAAGTAGCAGTCAGCTCTAGCTACAGACCTCTGGAACTCTGGCAGAAGGAGACACCTTAACCATCATGAGCAATGGAGTTGAGAAGGAGAGCTACTCAGAGAAGTGGTAGGGGGCAGCGAGCCCGCTGATGTGGAGCCCACAGGGTTTGGTTCAGGACCATCTATAGTGGGGCACAGCCAGGGACAGCCATACCCCTAGGCTTGACTTGTTCCCATAGGATATTTTAGCCCTAGAGAACTGTCAGTCCTGAACCCTGCAGGGCAGTCTTGCCTATCATATGAGGCCAGTCCCACCTGAGTACCCCTTAGTTTGCAGGCCTCTCCTGTGGCCCCAGTCTGGCCATACCAGCTTACAGGGCAGTCTTGGGTGCCCTGGGGGCCTGCACCATAGCTTCTGTACTGGCAGAGCATGCCTGACCAGTGGAAAACTCCAGCAGGGCAGCCCCCGTGGCCACGCACCAGGCTGCCCACTCCCTCCCCATACTGCAGCTTCCCCCAGTCCCACAGCAACTCTCCACATCACTTTGCTGGTACATGTCTATGTAGGCAGGTTTTGCTTTCCTTACCCCACCAGCATGTGAGAGTGCGGTCCGCACCCCTCCCCTGCTGACAACCATTGCAGATAGAGCCTTGGTGGGTACAGAGCCAGCCAGTGCTGCCTCCACTAGCACCCTGCCCTTGCACTAACACTGCAAAGAGAACAGCAGATTATCCTCCATCCTGAAAAATCACTCCTGCTTGCAGGGCACAGAGAAGGCACCTAGACCTGGTCCCACCAGTACTTCGCCCAAGAACAAACACTACTTCCAGCATGACCAGGCACACAGTTCCCAGCAGGTGCCTACTGCACCCCCAGCTGTGTTGTCTCTGCCACTGTGGTGAACGTCCAAAGAGAGGTAGGCTACCCAGCACCCACTAACATTCTGCCACAACTGCCACTATGAGGACAAATTCCACTGTCACTGCACTGTGAAGCACTTTGGCTGTCACCACCCATAGAAGTGTAGTGACCAGTGGTCCAGGAGCACCTTGAACCCTACAGTGCAGTAGAAGATTCCTAACCTCAAGGAGCCAGAGAACAAAGTTGGGGCCCAATACAAGTCCCCAGAGTTACAGCTTGTAGTCCAGGAGTTGAGAGCAGAGCACTGGCCCCTTAAAATCTTCCAGAAATGAAGCCAGTTGAATGAATTCACCTTATACCACAATCAAACCCTCAAGGTCATCAAGTAAGATGAAAGAAAAAAAAAATCCAAAGGTCAGCAGCCTCACAGATTGAAGGTAGATAATCCCACAAAAATGACAAAGAATCAGTGCAAGAACCCTGACAACTCAAAACACCAGAGTGCCTTTTTTTCCCCCAAACGACTGCATCACCTCCCCAGCAAGAGTTCTGAACCAGGCTGAGATGACTTAACTGACAGATATAGAATTCAGAATATGGATAGGAATGAAGATCATTGAGCTACAAGAGTGTGTTGAAACCCAATCCAAGAAAGTTAAAAATCATGATAAAACAATGCAGGAGCTGACATAACATGCAGCATAAAAAAGAACATAACCAACCTGGTAGAGCTGAAAAACACACTACAAGAATTTTATAATGCAACTACAAGTGTTAATAGCAGAATAGACCGAGCAGAGGAAAGATTCTCAGAGCCTGAAGACTGGCTATTTGAAATAAGAGAGTTAGACAAGAATAGAGAAAAAAATGAAAAAGAAAAAAAAAAAAACTCAGAGAAATATAGGATTTTGTAAAGAAACCAAATCTATGCCTCATTAGTGTCCCTGAAAGAGATAGAGAGAATGGAACCAACTTGGATTACATATTTCAGAATAGCAACAATGAAAACTTCCCCAACCTAGCTAGAGAGGCCAAGATTCAAATTCAGGAAATGCAGAGAATCCTAGTAAGATACTTCACAAGAAGATTATCCCCAGTACATATAATCAATAGATTCTCCAAGGTCTAAATGAAAGAAAAAAAAATGTGAAAGGCAGCTAGAGAGAAAGGTTAGGTCATCTACAAAGGGAGGCCCATCAGACTAAGAGCAGACCTGTCTGCAAAAGCCCTACAAGCCAGAAGAGATTGTGGGACAATATTCAACATTATTGAAGAAAAGGAGTTCCAATGTGGAATTTAATATTCTGGCAAACTAAGATTCCAAGCAAAAGAGAAATTAGATCTTTTTCAGACAAGCAAATGCTGAGGGATTTTGTTACCACTAGACCTGCCTAACAAGACCTCCTGAAGGAAGCACTAAATATGGAAGGAAAAGACTGTTACCAGCCACCACAAAAACACACTGAAGCACACAGACCAGTGACACTATAAAGCAACCACATAAACAAGTTGGCAAAATAACCAGCTAACATCATGAAGACAGGATGAAATCCATGCAACCTTGCATGTAAATGGGCTAAATGCCCCAATTAAAAGAAACAGAGTGGCAAGCAGGAGAAAAAACTAGCACCCATTGGTATGCTGTCTTCCAGAGACCTGTTTCACATGTAATGACACCTATAGGCTCAAAATAAAGAGGTGGAGAAAAATCTACCCAGAAAATGGGAGACAGAAAAAATGAGGGGTTGAAATCCTAGTTTCTGAAGCAAAACAGACTTTAAACAACAAAGATCAAAATAGACAAAGAAGGGCTTTACGTAGTGGTAAAGGGTTCAACTCAACAAGATCTACCTCTCCTAAATACATATGCATCCAAGACAGGAGCACTCAGATTCAAAAAGCACATTGTTTGGGACCTGCAAAGAGACTTGGATTCCCACAAAATAGTAGTGAGAGGCTTTAACACTCCACTGATGATATAAGACATATTATTGAGATAAATACTTAACAAAGATATTCAGAATCTAAACTCAGCACTGGATCAAATGGACCTGATAGACATCTGTAGTACTCTCCACCCCGAAACAACGGAGACAACATTCTTCTCATTGCCACATGGCACATACTCTAAAATCAATCACATAATGAGAAGTAAAACACTTCTCTGCAAATACAAAAGAATTGAAATCATAACCATCTTTTGGACCACAGCACAATCAAATTAGAAATGAAGACTAAGAAATTCACTCAACCCCACACAGTTAAATGAAAGTTGAATAACCTGCTTGTGAATGACTTTTGGGTAAATAATGAAATTAAGGCAGAAATCAAGAAATTATTTGAAAGTAATGAGAACAAAGATACAACATACCAGGATCTCTGGAACACAGCTAAGGCAGTGTTAAGAGGGAAATTTGTAGCACTAAATGGCTATGTCAGAAAGTTAGAAAGATGCTGGGCATGGTGGCTCATGTCTGTAATCCCAGGACTTGGGAGGCCAAGGCAGGGGGATCACCTGAGGTCAGGAGTTTGAGACCAGCCTGGCCAGTATGGTGAACCTCTGTCTCTTCTAAAAATACAAAAGTTAGCCAGGTGTGGTGGTGCACGTCTGTAGTCCCAGCTACTTGGGAGGCTGAGGCATGAGAATCGCTTGAACCCGGGAGGCAGAGGTTGCAGTGAGCAAAGATTGCACCACTGCACTCTAGCCTGGACAACAGAGCGAGACTCTGTCTCAAAAAAAAAAAAAAAAAAAAAAAAAAAAGAGTTAGAAACATCTCAAGGTAACAACCTAAAATCACAACTAAAAGAACTAGAGAACCCAGAAAAAAAAAACAACCAGAAAGCTAGCAGAAGACAAGAAATAACCAAAATTAGAGCTGAACTGAAGGAGAGAGACATGAAAAACCACTCAAAAGATAGACAAATTCAGGAGTTGGTATTTTGAAAAAGTTAATGAAATTGATAGACTGCTAGCTAGACTAATAAGAAAGAAAAGAGAGAAGATTTAAATGAACACAATCAGAAACAAAGAGAATGATATTACCACTGACCCTATGGAAATACAAACAATCATCAGAGAATATTATGAATACCTCTATACATATAAACAAAAAAACGTAGAAGAAATTCATAAATTCTTGGACACATACACCTTCTGATATGGTTTGGCTGTGTCCCTACCCAAATCTCATTTTGAATTGTAGTTCTCATAATTCCCACATGTCCTGGGAGGGACCCAGTGGAAGGTAATTGAATCATGGGGGTGGTTACCCTCATGCTGTTCACATGATAGTAAGTGAGTTCTCACAAGATCTGATGGTTTTATAAGGGGCTTTCCCCCGTTTGCACAGCACTTCTCTCCCTGCTGCCATGTGAAGAAGAATGTGTTTGCTTCCCCTTCTGCCATTATTGTAAATTTCAAGAGGCCTCTCCAGCCATGCGGAACTGTGAGTCAATTAAACCTCTTTTATTGATAAATTACCCAGTCTCAGGTATTTCTTTATAGCAGTGTGAGAACAGACTAATACACCTTCCCAGTACTGAACCAGGAAGAAATTGGATCCCTAAACAGACCAATAATGACTCTGAAATTGAGTTAGTAATAAATAGCCTACCAGCAATAAAAAAGAAGCCCAGGACCAGACAGATTCACAGCTGAATTCTACCAGCTGTACAAAGAAGAGCTGGTACCATTTCTGCTGAAAGTATTTCAAAGAAGTTGAGCAGGAGGAACTCCTCCGTAACTCATTCTAGGAGGCCAGCATCACCCTAACAGCAAAACCTGGCAGAGACACAACAAAAAAAGAAAACTTCAGACCAATATCCTTGATAAACTTTGATGCAAAAATTGTCAACAAAATACTGGCAAACTAAATCCAGCAGCGCATCAAAAAGCTTATCCACCACAATCAAGTAGGCTTTATCCCTGGGATGTAAGGTTGGTTCAACATAGACAAATCAATAAATGTGATTCATCATGTAAACAGAACTAAACACAAAAAAACCACATGATCATCTCAGTAGATGAAGAAAAGGCTTTTGATAAAATCCAGCAACCCATTCATGTTAAAAACTCTCAATAAACTGGGTATTGAAGGAACATACCTCAAAATAATACGAGCTAACTCTGACAAACCCACCACCAACATCGTACTGAATGGACAAATGCTGAAAGCATTCCCCTTGAAAACCAGCACAAGACAAAGATGCCCTCTCTCACCACTCCTATTCGACATAGTATCGGAAGTCCTGGCCAGAGGAATCAGGCAAGAGAAAGAAATATAGGGCATCCATATAGGAAAAGAAGGAGTCAAACTATCCTTGTTTGCAGATGACATGATCCTATATCTCGAAAACCCCATAGTCTCATCCCAAAAGCTCCTTAAGCTGATAAACAACTTCAGTAAAGTCTCAGGATACAAAATCAACATTCAAAAATCAGTAACAGTCCTGTACACCAATAACAGTCAAGCCAAGAGCCAAATCAGGAACACAATTCCATTCACAACTGCCACCAAAAGAATTAAATACCTAGCAAAACAGCCAACCAGGGAGCTGAATATCTCTACAAGGAGAGCTACAAAACATTGATCGTAGAAATCAGAGATGACACAAACAAATGGAAAAACATTCTATGCTTGTCGATAGGAAAAATCAATATTGCTAAAGTGGTCATAGTGCCCAAAGTAATTTGTAGGTTAAATGCTATTCCTATCAAACTACCATTGAGATTCCTCACAGAACTAGAAAAAACTATTTTAAAATTTATATGGAACATAAAAGGCTGAATAGCCAAGGCAGTCCTAAGTAAAAAGAACACAGCTGAAAGCGTCATACTCTCTGACCTCAAACCACATCACAGGGCTAAAGTAACCAAAACAGTATGGTACTTGTACAAAAACAGACACATAGACCAAGGGAGTAGAATAGAGTGCCCAGAAATAAGACCATACACCTACAATTCTCTGATCTTTGACAAACCTGACAAAAACAAGCAATGAGAGCAGGATTCCCTATTTAATAAATGGTGCTGGGACAACTGTCTAGCCATATGCAAAAGACTGAAAATGAGCCCCTTACTTACACCATATATAAAAATTAACGCAAGATGGATAAAAGACTTAAATGTAAAACCCAAAACTATAAAAACTTTGGAAGACAACCTAGGTAATACCCTTCTGGACACAGGAATGGGCAAAGATTGCATGATGAAGACAACAACAGTAAAAATTAACAAATGGAATATAACTAAACTAAGGAGCTTCTGCACAGTGAAAGAAACTATCAACACAGTGAACAGACAACCTACAGAATGGGAGAAAAATTTTGCAAACTATGCATCTGACAAAGATCTAATATCCAGCATCTGTAAGGAACTTAAACAAATGTACAAGAAAAAAAACCCATTAAGAAGTAGGCAAAGGATATGAACACTTTTCAAAACAAGACGTACATGTGGCCTACAATCATATAAAAAACAGCTCAACTCATTGATTATTAGAGAAATGCAAATCAAAACACAATGAAATACCATCTCACATCAGTCAGAGTGGCTATTATTAAGAAGTCAAAAAATAACAGATGCTGGCGAAGCTGAAAAAAAAAGAAACACATATACACTGCTGGTGGGGGTGTAAACTAGTTTAACCACTGTGGAAAACAGTATGACGATTCCTCAAAGGCCTAAAAACATAACTACCATTTGACCCAACAATCCCGTTACTGGGTATATTCCCAAACGAATATAAATCATTCTATCATAAAAACACATGTGCCTGTATGTTCACTGCAGCACTATTTATGATAGCAAAGACATGAAATCAACCTAAATGCCCATCAATGGTAGAATAAAGAAAATATGGAACATATACACCATGGACTACTGTGCAGTCATAAAAATGAGAGTATGCCCTTTGCAGGAACACGGATGGAGCTGGAGGCCATTATCCTTAGCAAACTAATGCAGGAACAGAAAACCAAATACTACATGTTCTCACTTATAAGCAGGAGATAAATGATGAGAACACATGAACACATAGAGAGGAACGACACACAGTGAAGTCTTCAGAGGGTAGAGGGTGGGAAGACTACTCAGGCTAATTATGGGAGTCCAGATATAATACTGAGGCACCCGTGCCTCAGTTTTCTCATTTACAGAGTTTAGATCTCAGTGATACCTACCTGAGATAATGTGGGGAAAGCAATTAGAGTAGTATCCAGCAGATGATAGGTATTCACAAATGTATGTTGTTGTATCACAGATGCATGCTGATATACTGATTTAAATGATAATTACTTTCGTTATTATTATTTACCAGCACTCACTGGATTTAGGCATAATTTTCTAATGTGTACAGGCTTTGTGCTTTGAATTTTTATCTCCTTTATTCTCTTGCTGTTTTTTTCTTTTCTTCTCTGTTTCTTTCTTTTCTCCTTCCTTCCTCTTTCTGCCTCTCTCTCTCCTTTCTTCACTTTTTCTTTCTTTTCTTTTCTTTTACTTTTTCTTGCTTCCACAAATATGCCATGATCATAAATGATGTACACAGCTGTATTCTAGATATGTGAGATACAAAAGACAAGCCAGACAGATCCCATCCTTAAGGAAAATGCAGTCTTAACAGAAAATAAGAAGGAAGAAGAAATATATTATCAACAAGGGAGAAAATGCTAAGTATCAGAGGAAAAGTCCAGCTAAATTTCTTTAGAATGCCATAGTTGAAACAGCTCACTTTAAAAGATGAAAGACTATTTCCAGGGGAAGGTAGAATTTAAGTAATTGATAATAATAATGACTCACCTTTTGCAGGCTGTAATGTACCAGGCAAGTTACATACATTATCTCATTTAATCCTCCAGCCTTCCTTGGTGATTTAACAGAAAAACCTAATCTCTTACCTGCCAGTATCCCACATATATATATGCGTGCATAGGCTCTATTCTGGGTTCTGTAAATTCTTCTAATTTAGTAAACTTGATTCACATTTTGGGTCCAGGAGTTAGCTAGAACTACTTTTTAATTTCAGCTCTTCCACTCCCTGCTTGAAGGACTCCTAGCAGCTATTCAGCCTCTCTAAACCTTAATTTCCTCATCTACGCGAAGTGCACAATTATGTCTTCTTCCAGGATTACTTTGAAAGCTGAGATGAAGTATGAGACATGCTTGTCAGAGGGCTTGGCATGTAGCAGAAACCCAACAAATGTAAAATGTCAAAAATGCTACCTGCTCTAAGGTTTGTTGTGAAGCTTATATATCACCTAGGATTGTGGCTGACAGATGTTGGGACTCACTAAATGTAGATTCCCTTTCTCCCCTGGGAAGACAATGTCAAGGAGGGAGGCAGGGGCTCTCAGAGCAGCTGTGCCATGTATGAGACTCCCTGAGGCAGCAGGTGCCTCCAAAAGTACCCAGGTGTTGCCCCAGGTGCTGTCATGCCTGAAGACTGCAAGAGTGGAAGAGGCTCCTGGCACTTGCTGCTCCTGCTCGCTCTCTTTTAGATTCAATTCACCTAGCACAGCCTAAGCTGGGAAGGAAGACTGGCTCATGTTATGCAAAGTTTAGTGTAAACCTCTTTCTTCTGAGTGTAAACATTATGTGCTCACTCTATGTGCATACTTGGTGGAATTCTTTTTATTCTTTATTTATTTTAATTAGCTTAATATATTCAAGCCTGGAACTGAGCAAAGCTGGGAATGTCTTTTTGTTCCTAGCTATGCCTTGAAATAAGAACAAGGTAAAAATGAATTTCTGCACTCTAAGTTTGTGTGTGCTTCACTCATTCTATATATTTTTAGCTAAGACCATTGCTTATTATATCTCATAATAAAAAAGGAAAAAAATGTGGATTTTAGAGTTCTCACATGTACTAGGCTCTGCGCTAGGTTTTTTCATAGTTTATTTAATTCTCACAACAGTTCTCTGGATGGAGAGTATAGGGTTAAGTAGTTTCTCTTAAGTCATATATCCAGGGGTAGCTTGAGCCAGAATTTAAAAATTGGGCATATCTAGCTCCAGCATTCACATTACAATCATTTCATAAATGAGGAAAGTAAGTCCAAGGAAATGTTATACCTAAGGCCATACCCAGTAGTTAGTGAAAAAAACTAGCATTCAAACACTGAACTTTTGACCCCTAGTCCAAAATAATTTCTTTTCATATATGCCTACCTTCTTTTCATTAAAAAAAATTTATAGCTATGTGCAGTGGCTCACACCTATAATCCTAGCACTTTGAGAGGCTGAGGTGGGAGGATTGCATGAGCTCTGGACTTTGAGGCCAGCTTGGGTAACATAGCAAGACACTGTCTCTACAAAATTTTGAAAATTAGCAGGGCATGGTGGTATGTGCCTGTCATTCCAGCTATTCAAGAGGCTGAAGCAGGAGGATGGCTTGAGCTTGGGAGTTTGGCACTGCAGGGAGTCATAATGGTGCCACTGCACTCCAGCCTGGGTGATAGAGCAACATTCCAACTCAAAAGACCAAAAATTATACATATGACTTTGTCTCTACTATGTACAAGGTACTGTTTAAGGTGCAGGGGAAGATATAATAATGAAAAGTCTAACAGAATCCATAGCTTTAGTGAAGATAAAGTGGGGGAAGAAAATATAAGTACATCAATCACATAAATGTGAAAAAGAAAAGATATCAAAGTACTAAGAGCCCAGAGAAAGGTGCAAAGGGGTGTTAGGGGAGAAATCAGTGAAAGCATAACAGGGTGACTCTTAAGAAAGTGGCCGGGCATGGTGGCTCAGGCCTGTAATCCCAGCACTTTGGGAGGCCGAGGTGGGTGGATCACGAGGTCAGGAGATCAAGACCATCCTGGCGAACACTGTGAAACCCCTTCTCTACTAAAAATACAAAAAAATTATCCCGGCATGGTGGCGGGCACCTGTAGTCCCAGCTACTCGGGAGGCTGAGGCAGGAGAATGGCGTGAACCCGGGAGGTGGAGCTTGCAGTGAGCCGAGATTGCACCACTGCACTCCAGCCTGGGCAACACAGTGAGACTCTGTCTCAAAAAAAAAAAAGAAAAAAAAAAAGAAAGTGACTGGGGACTATATTATATTTGATGATCAAGGAGGGCCTCCTTGAGGAGGTGATATTTAAACTGGGTCGTGAATGCCAGGGCAGAAAGTTGATGCAATAGTTCCAAAGCAGAATGGGAAGAAGGTAATAGTGTTGAGCCACATTCCTCCATCTCACCTGTTATGAACTGAATGTTTGCTGAGTGAATGATGCCTGAGCCCAGGGAGCAATGGAGAAACCTGGGGCAGTGAAGTCAGGCATGTGGGTCAGGGTGAAGTCTTAGATTTTGTTGCAAGCACAGTGGAGAGTCCCTGGGACCATACATGCAGGGTTTTCACAAGCTCACTCTACTGTTGTGCAGAGAACAGATTGTAAAGGAACAAGTGTGGAAGTAAGGGGAAGAGTAAGGAGGCCACTGTAGTTTTTCCAATGAGAGAGGGTGCTGGCTTAGAGTAGAGGTGGAGAATAGTGAACAGATGTGAAATGCATTTTCAAGATAGAGTCAAAGGACAAGTATGTGAGTTCCATGAGGGTAAGAATTTTTATTTGTTTTATTAATATCTGTATCATTAATGCCTAGGACAATAGCACATAGTAGGTGCTCAATATTTACTAGGTGATGGAATGGATTAATTGGAAGTGGAGTAAAGAAAAACTGTATGATCAAGAACAACTTGGGTTTTGGTTTTATCAGCAAGAGGGATGATTATGGCATTTACTAAGAATTTGGGAAACACTGGGGGCATGGGCAAGAGTTGTTAGTGATAATGTAATGTCTGAGATGCATCTTAGACATTCCAGGGGAGATATCAAGTAGGTCTCCAGTGTGAGAGTCTTTGCCTCTTTATTCTCATTCAAGGGTTAAGTAATGAAAGTGAAGGAGAAGAAGTGGATTTGAAGAGATGCAAAAATGTAAAATATTCATCTGGTGAGTTGAAAGACAAATGTATTAAGGAAGGATTGTAGGATCACCAGGAATTCTGGAATACCTCCTAGGATTTTTGGTCATACTTCTAAAGTGAGACCAGTCAGCAAAGCTGTGTGTATCTCCTAGAATGTTTAGTTGTCACGTGAAGAAACAGAGTTGGTAGGATAATTATATTTAAATAGATTTACATAGGTTTAGAGCTCTCCCAGGAAAGAAGGGTGAAGGGAATATAATTAACTATGTTTGCAAAGGAGTGGTTATAGTGTTGAGCCACATGGTCTCAGCTGAATAAGGAGGTAAGTAAGAAAAAGAAGAAATGGAATAGATGGAAAACAAAAGGAGAAGTATAAATGATTTTAATTAAGATTAAGGAGGCCAGTATGGGGGTGTAAAAGTAAGTGACCTGGACATGGAGGAAGTGGTAAAATAATTGTGGATGGTGGGGATGTAATAGCTCAGGCTGCCATAACAAAGCACTATAAACTGGCTGCTTAAAAACGAAAATATATTTTGTCACAGTACCAGAGACTGGAACTTCAAGATCAGAGCACCAGCATGATTGGATGCTGGTGAGAGCTCTCTTCCTGACCTATGGTGGTGGCTGTCTTCTTACATGGACTTTCCTCACTGTGAACATGGAGAGAGATCTGGAGACAGAGAGAGACAGAAAGAGAGAAAGAGAATGTTTTTTTCTTTTATAAGGTCACTAATCCCATCATGAGGGCCCCACCCTCAGGACCTAACTAACCCGAGTTACCTTCCAAGGACCACATCTCCAAATACCACTATACTGGGAGTTAGACTTCCAAAATATAAGTTTTTTGTTGTTGTTTTTGGGGGTGGGGAGCAAATATTGAGTTCATAACAGGTGAGATGGAGGAAAAATCAATGGAGCTGAATGTAAAGAACAGAGTGAAAAAAAGTATTGAATGGATCATCCAAATGAATCTTAAAAATTGCTAAGAATTTTGGAATGAATAGAGATGAAGAAGAAATAGCAAACCAGGTGCTAAAATCATCAGTGAATGAGGAGATTGAAGAGGAGGCAGGTAGTTGACAGCAATCAGAAAGATGATTGTGTGATAAAGTCTAATGTTGTCTATTTCAAATAAATTATGTTTTTGAAGAAGGAGGAAGATGAAAATGTTTGAAAGAAGGGAGAAAGAAACAGCCACCTCACACCCAGTCTCTGATGTGGGAATAAAAACAAAACTAGCCACACTAAAGATAGTTACAGGGAAATAAGGTGTAATTGTTGGCCAGGTAAGACAAGAGATAGAAGACAAGAACTTTGAGACAGCAGTTGAAAAGTTAGAGGAGTGTGCTGATAGGTGACTGAGTTCTAGGATGCACAATGCAAGACCAGGATGATGGTAGAAGACTGGGGGGAAACTGGCACTAGCAAATGTAGGGTGAGTAGCTGCTGTCCTTGGTCTTGGTAGTCTCCTGGAAGAAGATGGATAATTGTTTAATATAGATGGTATTGTGCAAATCTTCCCTCCAGCAGCTCTTGGAGGTGTGATGGCCCAGAGCATGACAGAAGGCGTCTCGGTGATACTACTTCCTTAGAAAGCTGGGAGAACTAGCCATCTGGGGGCTTTCCTTTCTTCTGGCCATGAAAAGGGTGTGCTAGTTCTACAGGAGATATGGTAGGACCTTGGGGTGGGGTGAAGGTAGTGTACTAAACGGGGTATTGACATAGCATGTTCTTTCCTGAAGGAAGTGGCAGTATGAGAGGAGAAGGCATGCCCATTTTTGTCAGGCTATGAATTCAGTTGCGTACTGAGTATTTGGTAACTTTAATATTTTGTTCTGTGTGCATGGTATAGATCCTGAATACAGACTGGCAAACATACTTCCAGTTATATTTAGTCTTAATCTTTCTATAGGCATGTGATGCGGTATACTGTAGTAGAATGATCATAGGCTTTAGAGTCGGGTGACTCTGGGTTTGAATTCCTCTTTTGATCTTTATTAATTATGTGGCTATAGCAGATATGGTTGATCCCTGCTTTCCTTATATCTATTAGTCCCTACCTCTTCAGTGAGTAACAAATAACTCCACTTACCTGTATCTGCATTTCTTTGAATGAGCACTTTCTCTGAAACAGGGAAAGGACCACTCTGCCTGGAAGACTGGATGGGGCAGGGAACTAACATCCTTGCGACAGTCATTAAGCAATGGCTGACAAAAGTTTGTGAATGACACTTCAGTTTCATTTTCTCTCACTTGGGACAATCCAGTGAAACTCAGGTCTTACCATAGACTGTGCTCCAGTGGGTCCCAGTTTGGTGACTGCTGGCTTGATAAAGCACTTCTCGTCACAGACCTTCCCTTACTTATCTCACTGCCTGACTTCTACAGGTGTGTTCTTCCAAATAATCTACTTGTAATCAACTCCTTCTCTCAGTACCTGCCTCTGGGGAACCCAAACCAAGACAATAGATTTGTAAATTGCATAAATTATTTGAGCCTCAGTTTTCTCATCTGAAAACTAGGGCTAGTTATACTTTTTTTTTTTCCCCACAGGGTCATTCCAGATTTAAATTAAAGACTATGAATAAAGCACCTAGTATATTTCTTGGAACAGGTAGGCACCAGGTCAGTGAAAAATATTCTTCCCCTTTCCTCACCCTTCTAATTCTGCAGATGCCTCAGAGCAGAGACAGGCAATGACTGAGCAGGAGAGACCACCTAATAAGCAAGGACTGATTCTGCTGAAGATAACTTCACCTGTCTTGAAGGTGCCCCAAGCTGGTCTGTATTTTAGTAATGAGGAACTTGGCAGTAATGGGGGCCTTTGGCAGGAATACACTTAGGGACCGGGCAGACTTGTGGCAATTAAAAGTTGGTTTCTAATAATAAACAGTTTAATGTAATAAACTGAAATTAATAATACTTTAAGATTATTAGATGATAATAATAATGATGATAAGGTCATAATTGTGGTGTTCAATGCTGTACCAGGCAAATAGGAAAAAAAATAATAATAATGTTTGCCTGTAGCAACCACAGGGGCAATGTGAGAAAAGAGGATTCTTACTTATGGATAGTAGCTACTGGAGCTCTTTATTGAAAAAAGTCTTAGGTGCTAGGCTGAGGAGTTTCGTTTCCTGAAGGCAGAATTTTTTAAAACATAGAAGTGTTGCTCAAGGCCCATCCTGTCAATCAAAATATCAGAAATGAAACAAACATAGGAAAGGAGTTGAGTTACTGTTTTTTTGGGGCCTGTAACTATTGTGTAATGAGCCAGTTTTTTCTAAGTCGCTTCTAAATGTGGAGCTGGACATTTTCAAAGGCCAGTGTCACCTCTCAGGAATGCAGGAATAAGTCTCTGTTCTCCACATTTCTTTGTCACCGGGGCAATTTGCATGAAAATGGGATTTCTATTACTTCTTCTCTGCTTCTTGGGCTTATTTCTTTCTTCACAGCTGAAAGTAATACCATGGCCAGCCAGCTTCAGGCATTCATAATTAAAAATAAGCGGGAACTTAAAAGAACTCACTGCAATTAAAAGAGTAACCTCTTGCATTCTGGGAGCTGAGGAGTCAAACTGATCTGTAATTATGTTATATAAAGTGTGACCATGAGCTCAAAGGCAAAGGCAGCAAGGCAAGAGAGCACCAGAGGAAGAAAGGAAGGGCCACTGAGATGGATCATTAAATTGTGGAGTTAGGACACACACACTGATAGATAAGCAATCTTAGCTCAATAGCTGGGCAGGGGGAAAGACTGAGAATGCAGGAGTCACAGAGTTCCTGGGTGAGGATGCTCTTGGAATAGTCTCTTTTTTTAATGAGTTCCATTATAGGTGTTAAGGATTCTCCCTCCCTCTTTTTCTCCCTCTCACTCCTTCAGCTTGTCTAGCATTGACTCTCCCTTTCTTACCCAGTGCTGTGGATCTTAAAGGTAAGGACTTCCAGCCATTCCTCAATGGCCCACTGTAGCCAATAATCGCTGAGTACCTAGTAAATACCATGCACTATAAACACAGAGATGAATAAACAATATTGTCCATGAGGAGCTCATAATTGAGGGAGAGACAGCAAAGTAATGCAAAATAACTATAAAAGAGTGGGATGAATACAGTAATAGACACATCAGCTACAGTACTCTGTAGATGTCATTGAGACCCTGCTTTGCATCAAGGGCTTTCTGAGTACTGTCTCTCTTTCTTATAATATCCCCATGAAATGAAATGTATTTATTCTGACTACATGTATTTAATGGCCAGTAGGTATCATGTATATGGCATTACGAATAAGTATCATTGCCCAGAGATTTTAAGTGCCTTTAGTGATACAACTAAAATGTGGCGAGTCCAAGATATATCTGGTTTTAAGCTCATGCCAAGAACAGGAGTCATATAGAAGAAGGAGTGTTTGTTTCTTTTAGGAGAGGGCATGGGTTGGATAGGAACTGAAGAAAGGAAAATCACATAAGAGAAGACCTCACAGTGGAGGTGCTGACTGAGCCAAGTTTGAAAGTTTTGCCAGAAAGTCCTGAATTGAATATAGTAATGTAAGAATCCTCTCACCTCTATGATTCTGTATTATTCTTTCCATTATACTTTAAAATGCTTCTTCTGATTTGTTTCCTTGATTATAGTAGAAATATCTCACTTACCCTATTACTTGTGTGAGCCCTGCATACTCCAGATGAAACGTTAATCATCAGTATACCCAGAAATAGTTAATTTAGATACATTATTTAGGACTGAACATACTTTATATTCATTACAGAAGATGAAGGTTATGTATTCCAAAATGGGAATACTGTTTTTTATTATTCAGTCATTTATTCATCACACACTCAGTGAATGCTAATGCTCACTTTGATCCCAGGCATTGAGCTTCCTAGAGTTCAAAATTATAATCTCCAACTGCCCACTGAACAGCTCCAATTGAGTTTCAAGAGTCATCAACACCATGTATCCAAATCTGGCTTCATCACAATCATTCCAAAGCTGTTTCTCTTTTCATGTTTCTAGCCTTTGTTGGACATATCACCATCCATAGTGCTATCTAAGCTAGCATCTAAAGAATAAGGTATACATCCTATTTTTCCTCAGACTCTCATCCCAGGAATCACTCTCAGACCCAGATCTCCTTTTCCAGTGTAACTGTCTTTGCTCAGACCATCTCATCTCTTACCCCAACTTTCACAAAAGCCTGCTCACTGGTCTCCCTGACTCCAGGCTTTCCCCACTCCAACATTCCATTTCTATCACGTGATCTCTGGAGTTTACATGCATGACTGTTTCAACCAGTAGACTCTGAGTCATTTGAGGACCCAGATGATGTCTTCCTAGCCATCACATATCCCAGGGCATGGGTGCTGGTATGCAGTAAGTGCTCAGTGAATGTTTATTGCTTGTTGGACCCTAGGGTGGGGCAGATGGAGAAGAAAGAAGAAAGTGCCAAAAGATAAGGATATCAGTGCCAAACTACACATCTTCTTGTGAAATTATCTATAAAGAGGGATAAGTCAGGGTCTCTGAAAAGGGTATCAATATACCTTCTTACCTCCAGGGGAGTGAATAGTTTTCTGTGTATATAACTGCTGTTTATCACAGGAATTTTCTGCGTGAGACAAGTGAGGGGTGTGGATTGAGAAATAAATCAAAAGTAAACACTGTTTGAGCTCGTTATATAATATGTGTCAAGCTTAGAAGCAAATATATATCTATATCTATCTAGCTATATATACACATCTCCTGTTTTTAACCTTTTAATAAGTCATAGAGCTAGAATGTGGTATAGCCAGGATTAAACCGCAGGTCCACATGGTTGTGAAGCCCTAGCTCTTATCAATGAGGGAAGACTTGTTTGATATGAGGCTGGTCCAACTGAACAGTTGAAATGATAAGAAAAGCCTGAGAGTGCCTATTTTTCCTGAGTTGGTTCTTTTATGTGAGAGCATCATTCAGGGGCCTGGTTTGGGAGAGAAAGGAAGACTGGCTTTTGCTATGTGCTTGTATTTGACATCTCCATCCAAAATACCTGTTATGCTCTGAAAGTCATAGAAAAACTATTTGTAGTTGGAGAAATTTGACAGAAATGGCACATCTCAAGATTAGAAGATGAAATAGGAAAGTGAGTGCTCAGAGAATGAAAGCAGAAGTGATAGAAAAGACAAGCCAGGGTACAGGCCAAAGGAAATAGCTATGTGGATCCCAGTCAGACAACAAGGTTTCAGTCCGAAAGTGTGCAGTGCCCACTAAGATAAAATGTGCTCATATCAAATGAATTACAAATGTGAATGTTCACATCAGTTCTGCAACTTTACCTTAAAATACATAATATTTTTCTTAACACAGAACTACTCAATAAACTATCAACCTCTACATGTCAGGCACAGGGCTATCCACCAGAAATACAGGGTGAATATGGCATATATAGTCCCATCTAGTGGAGGATGTAGACAAATATAATAAGGTTGACTGGAAAGATACTGCACTCTGGAGCAATGGCTAACTCTTCCCAAGAGAAAGGAAAGAAGAAACATGAAAGACAGCTAAAGCAGCTGTGTAGAATGGAGAAGGCAGTGCAGCTGTGAAGGACTGGAGATCTCTTTCTCTGAGCAGTGAAGGTGGACAGTGATGAGAACTGAATCCATTTAAGTAATTTACATTTCACAAATGTAGAAATAGGAGAACATAATAGGATGGGCTGATTATTGGTTTTTTGTTTAAAAGCCGTGCAGGGGGTCCTGAAATCAGTGCTCTGACACATTTCCCATGATAGTTTTACAGAAGAAGCTGTTTCTTTCTTTGTAGTTAAGATGAAAAACCTTTAAATTGCAGAAGGTAGAGCAATCATTTCTGAAAAGACAATGAAACACAAGCAAGTACATAGCCCATTGATACTTTTGATGTAGACTCTCATTTTTAGTATCTATCAGATGTTTTAGACTTAAGTCCTAGCCCCGGTGTTGTAATGAGCAAGTCATTGAAGGCCATTGATTAATTTCCTCATCAATCAAATATGTTAATCAAACACACACACACAATTAATGTTAAGGTTAGGGAAGAAGATGACTGGAGTGGCAGTCTTCCCCAGTGCCCACATCACTCCTTTACATTAGAATAGTCTCTCTTCATGTCTTTCTTTTTGACTGCATTCATCTTCTTGAGGGAAAGCATTTTGTCTAGTCAATCTTCATAATCCCATGGCCCTAGCACAGGGCCTAGAGTTAGCGCTTGGTCATTTGGTTATAAAGTCTATTGAACTTTAAGTTCCCCAAGGAATCCTATGAAAACTCAGGCCAGAAGTGAAGAGGAGGTGAAAGCCTAGTCCAACCAAACCCCCTCCTTTTGGATCTCCTCAACAATGTTTCCTTCAAAAGTTCTCCCAGTATCTCCCTAAGTTTTTCCAGGACAGAGAGCTCACTAGCCAACAATGTACCCAGAATCATTTCTGGGCATCTTTGACAAACAGAAAGCTGTTATCTCTACTTTTCAATACTAGACAGAACTGGCATTGAAGCAACCAAGACTGCAGAGGTTAGCACTTTATCTCTGACTGAGACACTGAGTGACCCGCTAGAACAGCCAGGCATATTTCAGGTCATTAATCACACAGGAAAGCTGGTCATCTCTTTGTTTTCAACATGTCACAGACAACCTGGAATTACTCCAGATGGACCCATTGACTTTGGAGAATTTTATAGTGCTGATTCCTTTTTCACAGAAGAGTAGTTTGAGTGATTATTATATCCTCTCAAAAACAGGTACATCTCCTGTCCTGAATTTAGCTTAGTGAAATAACTCCTGCCCTTCTCAGGAAAGAATCTTCTGTAGCCACCTTTAATCTTGCCTTCCAGAGAGGATGAAATGTTCCAAGCGATGGGAAATTTGTGTTCCTCTGCATTTTCACTTTGTGTTTCCCTTTTCACTTCTCTAGTGCACATTTCCATAGTGAAGAAGCTGGTAATGGATGGGGCAAGGAGGCAGGAATCCCATACGTCACTTGACTCAGAGATTCCTAGTACAGGGCGTGTGCCAAGTAAACCACACTCAGCATTCTTTGGGGCCCACTGCCCTGGAGATATGGAGCCTGGTGAGACCAGAGAGAGACAGCAGGTTTAAAAGGGTGAGCCTATCTATGTCACATAGAATTCAGAGACATACTGTTCTCCAGGTGACTTTTTATTTTATTTTTAGAGTGTTTTTTGTACATACATATCTGGGACTGGAGGTCGGCTGGGAGCATGCAAGAAATGCAGGCTCTCAGGAATCAAAGGGAGAGATCAGTTTCCTCCATTTATTTTCTGTAAGCTAAACATTTCTTTTGTGGTATGGTTTTGGTTCCCTTCAAGGCCCAGTTCACCCCCTCTCAGTGTACTGCTGCTGGCCCTGAAGGTTAGACTTCCCACCATCATGAAGTGTTCTGACATCCCACTGCCATTACTTGTCTCACTAGAAGCCAGTAATAATCTGTCAGAATTGCTGTGGCTTAAATGTGCCAATCACGTATAGCATTTATTTTTCCCATTGAGCTGTTAGTTTGTTTCTTTGGCTTGCCTTTAGCCACAGGCTGCGGGTCATATGATGAAGATGGTTTTATTGTTTATAATTATAATAAGAGCTGTTGCAGGATTTTGCTCACCCTTTAACTGTTACTATTACACAATACCACGATGGCTGGCCAGAACAAAGCCAGGCTGGAAGTACGGCTAGAATATTAGGAGTGGGGTGAGAAGGATGAACACTCACAAATTCAGTATGTCAGGTGGGTTAGGCAGAGGCCATGGGAGTCATCCACATTTTAAAGGACAGAAAGACTTTGTTTCTCCTTTTTCTTATTTGTTTTTGTTTTTGAATAGTGAGAGCACTAACGACACGAGTCTAGGTTCCACCAATCGAACTGAGGCAAATAGATCCTAGAGAGACAAAAAAATAAGCTGTCAATTTCAGGAAGGATATCAGTCAGGCTAGGTGTTCAAATGGGATAAAGGTCAAGACATGTAAACTGTAAAGTGCTAGACAAATCTAAGCTGATTTTACTATCGTGAGAATGAAGCCCAGGAAAAGTATCTGAGAAACCAAAATGCCTGGAATTACTAATGGCCATTATCACAACATGCTATTTGCTGTTTCCAATATGGCATATTTCCTGGTACATTAAAGCTATTTGATGAGCAATTTCTATCTTTTAAAGAACTCCTAGTGTTTTTTCTTAATTTGGAGACATGAATATGCCCAGGATGAGTCAAAGAATAACTGTAAGGTGAAATTTCTTAGGATTGAAAAAATTAATATATTCTCTCTCAATCACTCTATCACGCTAAGACTACTTTGGTGTAATAAAAAATACATATTTTGGTCTTTGTCCCTGGTTCCTGGCAGAGAGTTCCTAAAACTTACACTTTTCTGAGTGGTAAGAGAGTCTTTGGTTATTCGTAATGAGCCCCTTTGGAACAAGCCTATGTCTATACTAATATGGTGACTGAGGTTGGGCCACTAGATAGCCTCAAGATGGGAGCTGGTCACCAGAAAACCAACACATGATTTAAAAAGTGGAAATTCTCAGCCTCTTCTTCCTCCTCACCACAGGGAGGGAGGAGGGGCTGCAGATTGAGTTATGTAAAGTCTTGAATAAGGAGGTTCAGAGAACCTCTGGGCTGGTGAATACCTAGAGGTCCTGGGAGGGTGGTATGGAAGCTTGCCATACACCCCCAACACTGCCCTTCATATCACTCACATTTGACTCTTCCTGCATCCTTTTATAATAAACCAGTAAATGTAAGTAAGTTTATATAGTGTTTTCAGGAGTTCTGTGAGCCCTTCTGGCAAATTATTGAAACTGAGAGAGGATCAAGGGAACCCTGTAATTTGCAGCCAAGTTGGAGAGAAATATAGGTAGCCTGGGGACCTGGGATTTGCTGCTGAGATCTGAAGTAAGGGCAGTCTTGTGAGACTGAATCCTTAAATCTGCTGACTTAAATGATGCTGACTCCAGGTAGCTAGTGTCAGAATGAGAGGGAACTGTTGTACACCCAGTTGGTGCTGGAGAATCAGAGAGCTGCAATGAAGCATAGGAGACAGATGAACTTCTTAGGAGTGAAAATCTTGGGTGCTTCCTCTAGCTTTGCCACTAACCTTAGTTGTGACACTTGTCACTGAAGAAATGATACTTCAATATAAGCTAAAACATGATAATGATGAGTATGTATTAGGGAGATAATGTGCTTACTATGAAACTGTATTTCTTTTTCTGGGAAATACAGACCTTATTCAACATTTCACCACCAGAGTTACATAACTTTCATCATTTTACTCACTTGCTCATAAATGTTTTGTGACTCCCTTCAGAATTAATAAAAGCCACTCAATTTGGCCTTCAGATTGCCCTGTCATTTTAGCTTTTATGTGTGTTTTTAGCCTCATACTTTGCTCTATCACATGTCTAGGATTTTGAAGTTGTAGGACCTCCTGATTTGATAGAAAATATAATGGCTTCATATCCTGGTTTGCTCAAGTAAAAGCGGTGGCCTACATACAATTAATACTGCATGTGTGTCCCTCATAGATATATTCTGAGTCTCAGTTTTCATGGCTGTATATGGGATCTCATATGGGATGAATTGTGTTCCCCCAAATTCACATATTGAAACCTTAACCCCACTACCACAGAATGTGAACTTCATTGAAAATAGGTTCTTTGCATATAAAACTGTTCATGTTAAGGTATGGTCATAATGTAGTAGGATGAGCCCCTATTCCAACATGTCCGGTGTTCTTGTAAAAGGGGGAGATTTAGATAAAGACATGGAAGGGAGAACACCATGTGATGGTAAAGGCAGAGGAGGGGGTGATGCTTTTACAAGCCAAGGAACACCAAAGATTGCCAGCAAACCACCAGAAGCTAAGGGAGAGGCAAGGAGCAGATGCTTCCAACCCTCAGAAGGAAGCGACCCTGCAGATACCTTCATCCAGGACTTTGAACCTTCAGAACTGTGAGCCAATAGATTTCTGTTGGTTAAGCCACTCAGTTTATGGTGCTTTTCTACAGCAGTCCTAGGAAACTAATATAGATACTAGTATCAAGTTCATTGGCCTGATTTTTTATTGTTTTGTAAGATTTGAAAGAGATAACCATGAAAATAAAGCACTTAATATAACGTCTGGCACAAAGTAAGTGTTCAGTATAAACATCTTGAATAAGTACATAAGCAAATGAATAAATATTCATTTGTACAAATAAACATCATTAAGTACATAAATGTATGTCTATTCATTTGTTTATGTACTTAATACATAAAATTTTATTTATGTATTTAATATATTTGATGTTTCCATTGTGTTTGCACAATTATTGGAGAAATGGAGATGTTGACCTGAAGGAGAAACATGCCAATTATTATAAAGGCCAGAGTCTATCCCTAGTGGCTAAGAAAGTTTGATATCTGCTTTTCTGTGCTGTTTTGAACTGTCCGTACTCCAATATCAATGTTTGTGATATTATTTTTTGTTGTCTTTGTATTTTAAGGATATCCTACATGGAAAGGCAGCTTTGATTTAGGAATACAGAGAGACTGAATTCTATTATCTAATGCAGTTATATTTATCATTTCCATCCAACTTGTCTGTTCCACCTGAAAAATCCTAGATAAGACTTTCATAGTTGGCAGGTTAAATAAAGCATTTATGAAGAACTCTAGATCTTTGCAAATCTGGCCCTTTTAAATACTTCTACCCTGAGAGTCTATACTGATCGCCTTATAAATATCAAAGTGTTCCAAGAAAACAGTGAATGTTGGTACCTAAAAGTAATCAAAAGCCACATCTTGCACATAAAATTGGCAATTCTTAAAGAAAAAGAATACCTAATGATGAGGATGTGGGAACATGGGCTGGTGGGTGCTTAGAGTAGATTGAATTTTCAGGGGAGCAAATAGGGAATGTGTATCAAAGACACAACAATGTGTACATTCTATAAGACTCAGCAATTCCATTTTTAAGAGTTGATCCTAAAGAAATAACATTAGATGTAAACAAACAGTCATGCAAGGATGTTTATTACAATGTTGTTTATAAAAAGAAAAATTTAAATCAATTTAAATGGTTAGGAGTAAATATTACATTAATTACATTAATTGTTAGATTATTAAAACCCACATAATTGATGTCTACACAAATATTGGAAATGTTGTCACTGAAATATGATCAGTTTAAAAGTACATCATTTATTTTAGCTGTATCTATCTATCTGTATTCATCTTGGAAGAAATGATATTTTGTTCTACCACATTTAACAGCAGGGCATGTTATACTTCTGTATATCTCTAAATAAAATTAATTCTGCTCCAACATCCGCCTACATGACTATTGCTAATTTCATTCTCAGACATTAGTGGGTGGTATCCACGGGATCCTACAGAAACCCCAGGTTTATGTGTTGCCATAATCTGGGGGAGTTATTTGGCTTCTTGTACCATTTTAGAGAGGCTCACCATCCAAGCCAATATTTTCCATTCTAATGCCAGTAGCTTCATTCACCAAACATGAGGATATTTTGCTGCAGCTTCAAAAACCATGACCCTTAGTGTGAACTCCCTCTTGCACTGCTGTACCGCTCTCTCAGGGGCCTTGCCACAGCTCCCAGTAGCTCCATGGAAACAGGACACAATTCTCTGGCACTAAGGGCCCAAAGTCTCCTTCTTGTCCTCAGGGCATCTCACTTGGTTCTCCCAGGTTGGGACCTCTTGCACATCTCAATTCCAAGCACCAGCCTCCGCAACCTTCAAGTTTAAGCCTGCTTAGTAGAGCCTTCTTCATTGAGTCAAAAATACCAGTGCTACAAAAGAAAATCCCTATTTGTTGGGAGTTGTGGGATGAGATAAAGTAGAAAAGGTGGGAGAAAGAAGTTCATACCTGAAAGGACCCACTGCCGCCGTTCTTTTTTGGATTGGGAAAATAGATGCTGAAATCAGTTCTTTTGCTAATAAACCCATTTAATCAGCTTATTCTACACTGGATCTCAGTAATGAAATGACCTTTAGATCTTGCTCAGGCTTTTCCTTTCAGCAGGACCTAGAGCCACATGCTTCCATCTTTCTCCTTCAGTTTCATCATCTATAAAATGGGAATTTAAAATATGGCCTAATCATATGTAATAATACTTCTCAAATAGCTGTCAGACAAAGGTGAGTGTTTGCAAGCTTTATTGAAAGGGGCCTTTAGGGCCAATGCCTGTGGAGGAAAGAAAGCAGCTGCATTGAGCAGAGGGAGAAGTTGGGCTGCAAAGCAGTTACAACATAACCACTCCCATAAGAAGCTCTGAAACTGGGATTGCCTTTCAGTGGGGTCCCAAGTTGTGGGTGGGTAGGCAGCCCTTTATTCTCTCATATGAGTGAGTTATCTTATACAGACTGGCCCTGGAAGGAGGCAAGAATTTGAGAGGCAGTTCTTTATGGCTGAGGCAATTATTGGTGAGGGCTAACAACGGAGCACTCTCTGCAAGATAACATTCCTAACCTTACTAGCAGTTGGGAAATATGTGCTTCAGTCCTAAAGGGGAGCCCTGGAAGGAGCACATCCAAGACAGTAGCTAAATAATATGACATTGACAAAGAGAAACTGTGCCTAGCACCTGGCACATATTAAGAGCTCCATTAACATTAGAATGTGTGTGCTTCGGGTTCATTAATATGCTTGAAATGTCAAAGACTAAAACGTCAACAGTGTTTAACTTGGGGGTGGGACCATGGCTACTTGCTGTTTTCTCTGTTTTTCTATGCTTTAAATGTCACAATTGTCTATGTCTGAGGCTACTTTCCAACTACCTGGTACAGTTATCAGTGGATGTTATATTCACTAGGTGGCCAAGCGGTGTCCTATGAAGTTTGAAGGAAAAACATACCACCTTAATCAGGTTTCTGACTTACACCACTTTGTTACACTTGACCATGTGTTCAAACATATTCTCCCAACACTTTGTAGAATTCTGTGCTTCAGAGGTACCTCATAAATGTCTATTGAATAAATGAATCAAGGAAAATAAAAATGCAGTATCATCTCATACCCTGCTTGCATACATTTCTTCCCCCATTCATTCGGTAATTTATAGTTTTATTCATTCATGTATACTTGCATTTATTAAATAATCATCTATTAAACTCACACCCTGAACCAAATATTAATCTAAGGGTACAGCCACTACTAAAGGATTAATGTGATGAGAACTCCAGGCATCACTTGAGTTGATCAATTAAGCTTCAGTTATCTGCAGTATAAAGAAGAAAGTTAGTGTAGTTAAGATGGTAGAAGAATCAGCAGCATCACTCAAGACAGGCAGAGGTGTGAGTTTTGGGACTTATAAATCCTCACTTGGGGGATGCCTAGTTGCAAATGATACTATTTGTGTGAGTGAAGATCAGATCAAAGCTATAGAAAATTCAATTCTGCCCCACTCATATTCCAAGTTCAGTCTTATGTATATAAGAATAGAGCAGGGGTCTAGTCAGTGCTGGGTTTGCCTCCTACCAGGCAAGTGTATTTTATCAAATTTTGAGTTGTGCAATATGCAACATGACTACAGAGTAAAGCACAGAACTACAACCCTCAGCATTGAAAATAATTCTCACTTATTACCCTCAGACTTCCCAGTCTGGCCACACTGGTCTAAATGCATTCCTAATCTTTGAGCTGCCGAACTAGAACAAGGATCAGCTACATAGGAGTCTCTGGACATCATGATAATAGGCCTTAGGCCAGTTAGATGATATCTTTTAGAGAGTAACCATAACTTGAGATACCAAGGCTTAAGATACCCAGTCTATTTGATGAAATAGAGGATATAGAACATATGCAAAAGTTACACCAACAAGACCAAAAAAGATAAGTATTCTAAGACAGGTAACAACAAGGTATAGTAAGACCTGGGTAAAAATAAAACTAGCACTTCATGGTGATAAGCTGAAGGGGGTGGTAAATAAACACTTAAGGGAGAAAGTGGCACTTTAGTTGGCTTTACTGTAAACATGAATAGGAGAGAGTATTCTAAATAAAGCTAATGACATGAACTAACCAAGAAAAATAGGCACTACCTGTAAATGCGAATAGGAAAGCCATGAAATAATGTATGTGAAATAGTTTTGTATCCTTTAAAATGTGAAGCACCACATTAGTTATTTATTATTATTGTTGTTATCCACGGTCTTCATCTTGTTTTGTGGAACAATATTTCAGTGTCCTATTTCTTAGGAAACATATGGGAAAAAATGTCATTTTTCTTTGATACATGCCCACACAGGTCAGCCACTTTCTGATAATATCATGTCTATGGGTCCTTCCTAATCACATTTGACCTCTTCAGGTTACATTGTTGGCTTTCTTAAGCATTAAATAACTGGAAGAGAACCACTGGTTGAGGTCAGATTATTTATTAGGATCAATAGCTTTGAATGATTTGGGGTAGATGTGGTGCACTTTCCATTTGAAAGGTCAAAAATCTGTCAACTAGCAGTAAATGCTCTTAGCTCAGATAAGGCATGGTAGAATAGCATAAAATGTTGATTACACTATCCAGGGGCCATCTTGAAACAACCTCATTCCTTTGGTGTCTAAAAGAACCGCTAGATGGCACTGCTATTTCAAAATGGATTATCTTGGGAAAAAAATGGACGCACCATCACCACCATCCCCACCATCCCCACCCTCCATCGTGTTAATGTATACATTATGCGTGCAGAGTGAACTCAGGTATCTGTTCATTTCACATCCAGTAGATTTTCTTATATAAGAAATGGAGATAGTGATAGCACTTAGTTAATGTTCTTGTGAGGATCATGTTCAATAATGGATAGTAAGGTATCCTGTAGATTCTAAGAATAAATATTAATTTGTCTAATTATTACCAATAAATGTAAGTCTTATGAGTATAAAGTTAATAAGAATAGAGAAGTAGCTGATAATGATTCCAGCAGCTAAGCTTTATAAGTTAGTCATAAAATGAAAACCCAGTGACAAAGAATGAAGATATTAGAAAACTCCCTAAATTATTTATCTCAAAAGCCCAACTGAGAACAAAAATTCTCTCTCTCTCTCTCTCTCTCTCTCTCTCTCTCTATATATATATATATATATATATATATATGCATTTTATCTAGGATTTTATCTAAATATTGTGTTATGTGTTTATATCTCTACATAGTCTCAATTATACCTCTGGTCTTTACCGAACATCAGAAGAAAAACCCATGAGAAGATCACTTATGTATTTGTTGTAAAAAGTATTGAAAACATTATTCATTGTTTTACCTAGTGATCCCTTATGTAACATCACCAGAGATAAGTTTGCATTGGAATTTATATAAGAAAAATGATAAAGAATCAGTCTACTACATTTTATCAGATCAAAACAGATAATGAAACATATCATGTATCTCCTTGGCTATCAAGAGACTCAGAACCAAGTTTAATGTTCATCCCAATATTAACTCTTATGGCTAACATATCCTGATGTTTCTTCTTTTTACAACTTGAGTCTATTTCTTTCCAGAAACTGTAATGTGTGTTTGCCTTTGTGGTGCTCTACTGCAAATCCTTTTGAAGTGAATTGGAATATTAATAAATACAATCTGATAAAATATTTAAAATGTATAAAAATACCTTTGTCGATTCAAAGTCGCTATAGATTCATTTAACAATTTTTTTTTTTTGCACAATACCCTACTGGGGTTTGTAAACAAAAGATACACATAGCCTTCAATTAGAAACACGTTTTCAGCCAGGTGCGGTGGCTCACGCCTGTAATCCCAGCACTTTGGGAGGCCGAGGCAGGTGGATGACCTGAGGATGGGAGTTAGAGACCAGCCTGACCAACATGGAGAAACCCTGTCTCTACTAAAAATACAAAATTAGCCGGGCGTGGTGGTGCATGCCTGTAATCCCAGCTACTCGGGAGGCTGAGGTAGGAGAATCACTTGAACCCAGGAGGCAGAGGTATCGGTGAGCAGAGATCTTGCCATTGCACTCCAGCCTGGGCAACAAGAGTGAAACTCCATCTCAAAAAAAAAAAAAAAAAAGAAAAAAAAGAAAAGAAAAAGAAACTAACGTTTTCAGAAGGGTAAAATAGATCATACATTGGTAAATCACCTTGCATGATATTATCTAATTTAGTGCTAAGATGAGTTTATCACAATTTACAGCTACGGTAAGGATATCATAAAAGACATAAGAAAAGAAAAGAAAATATTTGGGCTGCAGAGATCTAGAGTGCCTTCCGGGGAAGATGGCTTAAGTAGGATCTAAGGCTCATGAGGATTTAGATAAGCAATCAGGCAAAGGAATGGTAAGAAGAGGAGTGAGAACCTACCTGGTACCTAGGGAACAGCCTGCTAATCTAACCAAAGTGTTTGTTGTGTAGTGTGAACATTAAAAGTCAAAATATGAAGGCTTGAGCACAAGACTAAGGAATTACTACTCCTTATATAAATGTAACTTTTGTGTAAGATTCAGGTTAAATTGAATAGCTCCTCATAAATGATGGCCCTCTAGGCACAGCACTTACCTACTGAACTAATTGCTGATTCCTAAATACCCTGGGGCTGCTCCTTGGGCTCTGCAAATAATTGAAAGCCCAGGTAATCAAATATGATCAGTGTGTAGAAGACATCCACAGCAAAACTCTGGGCAGCTGTTTTGAATTTACGTTTTGATGAGATACAATTCAGCTGAATCTCAACCGTTCAAAAATATGCCTGTTTTTATGAGATGTCAATTTGTGTTGTGCCCAGGTTGGTATCCCTCAAAGTCAAGGTAAAATTTATGTTCCCAGTTGTCAGAAGCCTTTTTCCTTTGTATTATTCCATATACTTGGTCTAAAAAATAATTGTTTGTTTATGAAATTGTTTTTTTCTATTCAGTATTTTTGGAGGATGGTAGGAAGGTATTAGGTATTGGTGAGCAAATTAAATTAACCAGGGTAGTTGATCGTTTTATTTACTCAACACATAGAGTTCTTCAGATATTTAAAATAATTATGCATATTTCCATAGCCCATTTTCCCCAGTTTTCATTCATCAACTATTTCTTAAAAGACATAGCTTTGAGCTGAAACCCTCAGAGCCATCCTTAGATGCTTATTACTCTCCTCTGAACACATTTCTTTTGGTATATTTAGCATATTGGTAGATTTTTACTGTATAAAATACAGATCTGGTCTAAAAATTTCAGATGCAGATGGCCACAGAAGAGAACAGGGCCATCTCCTTTATTATTCCAGTTACTATTAGTATTAATTCATACACATTCAATTATTCAACACATGTTTGTTCAGTATCTACTATGCAGCAGGCACTTCAAGCAGGCAATGGGCTCTGCTCCCATGGAGCTTAGAAGCTGAAGGAAAGCAAGTTGCTAAGCAAATGGAAGTGCTATGCAGTAAAAATTTTGTGAAGGCTACTTTGAAAGGATGAAATAGTTGAGATGTGGTGGTCAGGTAAGTCTTCCTTAAAGAAGTCACCTTAAGTTGAGACTCAAAGAATGAATAAAAGTTGAAAAGATGAAGAGAAAATGGAAAAAAATAAGTCCAGCTGTTTAGGAGGGGGCACACTATTAAACTCTCTGCACTTTAGTTTCCACATCTATAAAAAGGGAGCAATAATAAAGGCTATCATATAGAGTTATGGAAAATAAATGAGGAAGAAAAGTTAGAATAAGACCAGGTATGACAATGACTACACCAACTGTGTTTCTAGGAAGAGGGAATAACAGTCAAGAAAGTCCTCAAGGAGACATATGCTAGGCTTGGTCAAGAAGCTGAGCGAAGAGCAAGGTGGCAGAACACGGAGAGCAAGGGGTTGCATGATGCGAGAATGGAAGGAGAGATCATTCGGCCCCACCACGTAAGAGAGCAGGGGCTTTTTGGAAGCTGCCTAGCAAAACAAAATGACCACCTAGGAGCCAGCAGCTCCCATTTCTCCCACCTGATCTTTAGCTGCTCTTGCTGTTGGTTATATGACTAGGTTGTTGTGTGAATACTTTGTAAAGTATCTGGCTACTGATTTTGCTTCTCTTTTCCTATTAATTTTTATTTAATTTGAGTAATGACTAGACCATCAGAAATAATTCTTGTCCTCCTACCCTACGGAATTAACCTTCGATCTTCTTGGGCTTGAATACTTGTTGGTGTTTCACCTCCCTTTCTGCCTTTACCAAGCTCAGCTATACACAGTTAACTCCTTTAATCTTTTCTCACCCAGTTAGTCCCATTTTCTTAATCATTTTTGTTCCTCCCTTCACTATTCCCTTGAAAATTCCTTTATCTCATGGTCAATTTATCACATAGCCATTTAATTTTTACCAGGCACATAAACCCCTGAGTGGAAACAGCCTTGAGAAGCACATTTGCACTCGCTGCAGCTTCTGCTTTTCTGAATATTTTGCTCTCTCTTGCCTTATAGATTGGTTTATATTCATATTTCAAAATGTTGAGTGCAATTAGCAGGATGTCTCTATGTTAATGATATTGCCATCTCAACTATCCAATCTGGAGGGAGTGGGGGACTGATTCAGAGAGTATAGTTGTAAAAAGAAAAGAAAAGAAAAGAAGAAAATACTGGACTGTATCATCAGACCCACCCCCACCTAACATGTGACGGGCCCAGCCCCTTGGATCTACAGTGTTTCTGTGTGTGGGAGTAGCTAAGCAAGTAGCTCGAGAGTCAGACTGACGGGGTATAAATCTTCACACTGTCGTCTTCCAGGACTGTGACCTTGACTAAGTGATTTAGCTGCTCGATGCCTTGGTTTCTTTACATGTGAAATGAAAATAATAACCCTACCTCTGTGATAGAGTTGCCGTAAAGACAGACTGCAAAGTGCTTAAAAGAGAGCCTTGCAGGAGGTAAGGACTCAGCAAATGTGATTTTCTGTAAAATGGGTACAATAAAACATATCTCACAAGGTCATTGTGGTTACACACATACATGCAGACACACATATCTATGACATGTAAATCCACTAACAACTAGCTAATGTAAAATTTCTTAGTTCACTAAATGTAGTTTATCCCTGTTTCACTATATCTGCTTTTATGAAGACACTGTGTAGAGTTAAACTTTTCAAAAAAAATTTAAAAATAAAATCATCAGATGACTAGTGAAAAATACAATTGAGTGCTTACTGATTTCTTGGAGGAATGATGGCCTTCTAAGGTTTGAAGCAACAAAAGAAATCACAAGGAAAAAGATTGACATATTCAATTACATACAATTTTCAAATGTGGGCACAATGAAAAGATAATCATAAGTAAAATAAAAAGGAAAACAACAGATTGAGAAAAATATTTGCCCCAAATATGCCAAAATTATTGTGAAGATTAAATGAGGATAAATAATGTATGTGAAAATGCATAGTTGCCTGTCAAATGTAAGAAAGAAAGTTTATGTTAAATATGCTCCAATTTATTGGGCAACTAATTCTCATACACCAGGTACTGTTCTGGGTTTTACATAGATATACACCTGATGCTAACTGGGCCTCCCTGTACCTTGAGATCTCCTTAATCTATGGCTTTGGGATAATCAAAGCCTTATTGGGGAAAATCCTATCAACCTTTGGTCATGTGTCTCTACATATCCCTTTACTAAGCTCTGGGTCCCTGAATTTCCCTGGGGGCTCTCTTTGTACTGTCCCACATCAAACTCAGTCCCTGAAATAAATTCACTCTACATATATTGTGGAAATAGGAACTACATGGAAAATTTTGGAGTGTCCCAGGGTAATACAGGATGTCACTACAAAGCCCTGGCTATCTTTTGGCCTCCCCACTTCTATCACTCTCCTCTCCTCTCTTCTTCTCAGTAACAAATTGCTTCTCTTTCTCATGAAAAGTGGTTTCCCTTTCTTCTCTAAAGCCTTGAAGCCCACCTCAAGATGGCTAAGGTGGCAATTTCTGAAAAAAAGAAAGCCCTCTTCCTAAGATAATTCTTATATTAGCCTTTAAGAAGATTAAATTGGCTGGGCACGGTGGCTCACGCCTGTAATCCCAGCACTTTGGGAGGCCGAGGAGGGCTGATCACGAGGTCAGGAGATCGAGACCATGGTGAAACCCCGTCTCTACTAAAAAATACAAAAAATTAGCCGGGCGCAGTGGCGGGTGCCTGTAGTCCCAGCTACTTGGGAGGCTGAGGCAGGAGAATGGCACGAACCCAGTAGGCGGAGCTTGCAGTGAGCCGAGATGGCGCCACTGCACTCCAGCCTGGGCGACAGAGCCAGACTCTGTCTCAAAAAAAAGAAAACAGAAAAGATTAAATTATCTCCATTTAATTATGCATATTATTTCAAATCCTCACAAACATCTTGAAGGGTATGTCCATTCTCATGTTTAGAGGATGAAGAAATGGAGACAAGGGACCTAAGGAATTTCCTCAAAATTATCCATCAGTTGTGGCTATGTGGTCCTAATAATCAAAGCAGTAGATACATAAATAACTTAGAGAAAATATTTATGTCCCAAATGATTTGAACTATCAATTCTCACAATAGGAAACAGAAATTGTAATCCTTTGTTTCTATCAAATTAATGTCAATACTTGTCCTACTGATAATAACAACAATAAAAAATAACATCTGACATAAATTGAGTGATTTTTGTGTACCAGACACCATTTTAGGTGCTTTCTGTCTATTAACACACTTAATCCTCACAACAATCCAGCCAGATAAACACTTGATTATTGCCATTCTATAGCTAGGAAACAGAAAGACAAATTGATTAAATAACTTGCGTGAGTGCACAAGCAAACTGAACCTCATAACCAAATAAGTACTTATAAGCTCAACATTCACATCAAATAAAAGACTTATTAGCACTTGCCATTGAAAACCTTTAAAAAAAACTACAGAATAGCAAGTCTCAATTTGCACCTTTAAAGTTAGAAGATGTCTTCTTTAAAAATAATAATATAAAGTACTAGTGGCATTGTGATAAAACTGCATATACGTATGAGGTGAGTGGTCATAGAAATTTGGCCTTTTTTAGAGACAAGAAATGATTTATAATTTTTGACTGAATAATCTATCTCCAAGGAATTTATTGTGAAGAAATAGTTTTTAATATAAAAAGAATGTATAAACCATATTACTCATTACAGCTTAAATGTCTGACAACTGGGTAAGTAAATATGGCACACCAACTCAATGGAATATAATGCAGTCATTAAAATTTCAATTATGGACTGTGTATTTACATGAGAAAATATGTACCTATAATGTTAAGTAATAAAAATCAATGAAGAGAGTATGTATGTATTACTGTTACTATTAAAATGATATATGCTTATGGATGAAGACTCAGCAGTCAATATAAAATATATAAAATTAACTTATAAATGAGTGAAAGATGGATGATTTTTAATGCTCTAACTTTTAAATTACTGTCATGTTATAATATTATTTGCATATAACCCCAAAATTGGTAAACAATCTGGGGAATCCAAAAGAGGATGTCACATGGATGAGTTGTAACAACCTTGCTCTTGGAGAGGGATCTAGTCTTGGAGAGGGATCTAGTCTTGCAGAAGGACCTGATACTACTTTTTAGGTAGCAAAGATGCTCTAAGCTTCTACAAACCAAGTAGCCTTTCCAGCCAAGCTTTTACTCATTGTCTCTCAACAATTTTCTCTCAGAGTGACTTTCTGTGCTAGGAGTCATCAAAGGGAAACTGACACCCCATCCTCCAATTTCCTTGAGAATTGCTAGCCTTCTGTGCCACCATTATAATGAAATTTGTCCTGTCATTCAGGTGTTCAGAGGCTGGGATAAAATTGAAAACCCCTGTAGAAAGAACTAAATCCTCCTGTTCTGAAAAATTCTTGTCCAAATCTGCATCTTCTCTCTAAATTCCTACATTGCCTTGCTTTGAATCTCGAATTGTCTTATACATATATGCATTGTCTTCTCACATTGCTTGCGACCTCCGAGAAAGCAGACAGCACCCTGATCTATTTATTCCGCTGTCATCAAGTCACAGTGACTTGCTTAACTTCTCTCCAAGCTCCAGTGCTTTTTCCTCTCCTCCAATCCTAAGGAAATCCTACTCAACCATCCACCTTCATGTGTCCTGTCACCTCTCTATGGAGTTTCCCAAAACTGGTCAGCCAGTGAGAAGAGCTCCTGCCTCTCACTGGCAGTAACACTCTGCCCACCCTTTGTTTTTGACAGTGGATGTTTAATTCTACAATGGCAATATCCTTGTAGTTATTGCCAATTGCAAATCAGTATATCCACCTGGTAAAAATATTGGATACAACCAGATAAAAGAGAAAGTGAAAGCCCTTTTATTTATCCCCTCCCCCAAGACAAATACCATGGATATCAACATACTTTACATGTGCTAGTTTTATCAGTTAAATAAACATTCATTACATGAACAGTCTTACCAAACATATTATTTACTAATGTTTTTTTCACACATAAAATATCCTGTGAATAATTACCCATGTCAATTCATATAGCTATAGTTTATCCTTCTAAATAGATCTACGGTAGTTCACAGTCTGAGTGCACAGATAATTTAGTCAATTTTCTTCCAGTGGATATTGAATTCAGTTATTCAATTGTTTCAATTATTTCACTGTTCTTAAATAATACTACAATGAACATCCAATGAATATCTATCTATCTATCTATCTATCTATCTATCTATCTATCTATCTACCTAGCTACCTACCTACCTACCTATGTCACATATTCCCTATTTATTTTTTTCTAGGATAAATGTATAGAAACAAAATTTATATGTCAATCAGTACACATATTTTGCATTTTGACATAAAACCACATTACCCAGCTGAAAAGTTGTGCCAGCTGAAATTCCTATAAGATTGTATCAAAGTCCTTAATTTCTTGTACTCTTGCCAGTACTGATTACTTCATATTATGTTTTAGTGCTTGTTTATTTCTCTGCCTTCCTACTAGACTGCTATTATAAAGGACAAGGATGTATATTTATTATATTTTGATATTCAATTAGGTTTTTAAAATATATATGAATACTTAGCTAATGTTTCTGAAATAAAAGTGAATATTTTAAAATGCTGGAATGTGAATTCAATTAAATATGGTCTTTTATGTATTTGAGGGAGATATTGAGGGACATTGGACCCAGAAGTATGGCAGCTTGAATTCTGGCTCTGTCTCCTGCTTACTATATCCAGAGGCTGGGCTCATAACCTCTCTGAGCCTCAGTTCCTTCTTCATTAAAATGGGCATAATAGTTCCTGTAAAATTCTTATAACAGCATTAATGTAGAGGAAGAATAGCCTGTAAAATGTTGCTACTCTAAGCTTAAAAGAAAAACCAGCATTAGTAACACCTGGCTAAAAATGCAGACTCTCAGGCTATCCCCAGAACTACTGAATCAGAATCAGCATTTTAACAAGATCTCCAGGTGATTCTTATCCACTTTAAAGTTTGAGAAGCACAGATATAAAATATGAAACATAGCATCAGATGCATAACAGGCAGACACTAAAGTAATAATGATGACAATGACAATGATGATGTGATGTATGTAAAGCCCTTCGTATATAATAAATCATAGTTGTTATAACTTTTATCAGCTGTTCACATTTGGCTTTAAAAT